>NC_000009.12:33797878-33949393 GCF_000001405.40 Homo sapiens
ATGAGCAGTTCATCAATGCGGCCAAGATCATCCGCCACCCTAAATACAACAGGGACACTCTGGACAATGACATCATGCTGATCAAACTCTCCTCACCTGCCGTCATCAATGCCCGCGTGTCCACCATCTCTCTGCCCACCACCCCTCCAGCTGCTGGCACTGAGTGCCTCATCTCCGGCTGGGGCAACACTCTGAGCTTTGGTGGTGAGTGGGACCCTTTGTCCTTCTACTTCCCCCCATCCTCACAATTTCCAGAACGAAGCATGCCCCTTTATTTGAATCCTCTTGCCTCCCGGCTTAAGACACATTTCTAGTGCCCATTACACACAGTCTCTGCACTGGGCACCAGAGAGATGCAAAGTCTCAAGGACTTGGCTCCTAAAATCAAGAGATAGGACAAATGGAGAACTTGCTGTGATCACGTCTTGGGAGGGGTTCAACAATGATCATTCTGGAAACTAAAAGCCAGAGTCCCTTGCCAGAACTTACGTTTTGGAGTCCTCTCCAGAGGCAGTGTTCCTCTTCAATGTTCCATCCCAGATTATTGTCTCCTTCTCTGGCCTCACCCACATTTCTACTTTCTTTGATCTCTTCCTGATCCTCACAGCTGACTACCCAGACGAGCTGAAGTGCCTGGATGCTCCGGTGCTGACCCAGGCTGAGTGTAAAGCCTCCTACCCTGGAAAGATTACCAACAGCATGTTCTGTGTGGGCTTCCTTGAGGGAGGCAAGGATTCCTGCCAGGTGATTTGACCCTTTCCCATGCTGAGGCTCCCACCGATACCCAGGCCCCACCGGGGAAAAAGATTTGAACTCCCAAGGTGGCAGGGCTGAGGCGGCTCCCTGCAGTGCTCCCATGGAGAAATGAGGAAGGTGGCGGGGCTGAGGCGGCTCCCTGCATTGCCCCCATGGAGAAACGAGGAAGGTGGCGGGGCTGAGGAGGCTCCCTGCAGTGCCCCCATTGGGAAATGAGGGAGGCTCCCTTGTGCTGCACGCTGCCTGCTTAGGAAGAACAGAGAATGGGCCACCGTGGGAAGGACGTGGAGCCACAGAGCTGGCTGGAAAGGGGTCTTTTAAGGTTCACAGTAAATGTAGCTATATTCCTCCTCCATCTCTCTCTTTATACAACTTGTCCCTTCTTCTCCCCAGCGTGACTCTGGTGGCCCTGTGGTCTGCAACGGACAGCTCCAAGGAGTTGTCTCCTGGGGCCATGGCTGTGCCTGGAAGAACAGGCCTGGAGTCTACACCAAGGTCTACAACTATGTGGACTGGATTAAGGACACCATCGCTGCCAACAGCTAAAGCCCCCGGTCCCTCTGCAGTCTCTATACCAATAAAGTGGCCCTGCTCTCACTCTGTGTCTGTGCCGGCTCCCTCACACTCCTTCACACTGGAAAGCATCCTCCAATCTCAGGTCAGACAGGGCTGTCCCCCTGAAGGGTAAGCAGAGCCGCCAGCTCCCAAAATGTGTTCCATGGTACACTAGAGTAGCATATACAAAGAGATGGAATCCAAAAATAATACGAAGCTTAGGACAAAAGGGGCACTGTTTTCTAGAGAAAAGTGTTTCAGAAAGGTGGTCTTTGGGTGGGTGGTATTGATTTTTCTTTGGGCTTCTCACAGTGGTTAGAGCTACTCTGCCTTCGAACAATCACAGCACAGAAAATGTGTCAGCATCTTCGAGGTGGCCCAAAAAATCTGACGAGCTGAATCTTATTGCTAAAATACAACAATCATGACAAATGCTGTTGGTGATGACATGCCTCTCCCAAGAATGTGTCAGCACCAAGCCCTCCCTTCTCATTCACCTGGAAAATCAGACTCAAGTAAATCTCCCTGGCCCCCTAACTCTTCCCTCAATTCCCTAGTTCCATCTCTGTGAGCAGGCTAGAGAGATGTTCCACCTACCATAGCGGGAGCCCGACTGCGACTTGGGAATCAAGCCCAGCACTGCACGCTGCATTTTCATCTTCTTTGCCTTTGTGGTAGGACGCTGCAGTGAATCCCACAGCTAACACCAGCTCCCCACTCTGACCTGGGATAGAAATTAGAGAGGGTCAAGATTCACCCATTTGATCAATTAACTGAGGAAGGATTCATTTTCATAAAACTTGCTCACCTTTGAGACACTTCAAGTGAGTTATTTGGGACTCTTTTAAAAACGTGGAAGGAAAGACATCTGAGGGCTGTGACACCATCCAGCCACTCTGGCCACACGTTGGCTGGCTTGCATCCACTGCACGCAGCAGAGGAGGGCAGGCCCCGTGACACCTGTGACACCTGCCAAAGCCTCCTCCTGGCAATTCTGAGAGGGCCCATGTTAGGGATGTAGCTCATCCAAGCTTGTCACTGAAGATCCAAGCAAGCTTCTCTTTGAAATTCCACCTTTACCTTCTGTCCCAAGTGGTTGTGGACACCCATGGGAGCTGGTACCAAGGGCCAGGAGCAGCCAAGGGAGACAGACAAGTTCAGAGCACATTTCCAGTTACAGGGAACAGAGCACAGGCCTCCAAGTGTCCATGGAGCAGCATGCAAATTGCAGTGAGGAGTAGAGGAAAACCTCTACATGGAGCACAGCATTCCTGGCAAACACAGGGGACCGCAGTCCACATGCTGTGGAATATACCCAAGTATGCATCAGACACTTGTTTGGTGAACAGTAAATGTGTAAGATCAATTACCTTGAGAGGGCCATCTGTGCTCCACATGTGTGGTTCGTGTGAGGAGATGGCTACCACTCACTATCTTCCGAGGGAAACAGGGCTCAGGGCTTGCACACGATGGACAGATACACACGGGTCACCCAGAATGTCACTGCATACAAACATCACTTTGTTCAACATGGATTTTGTTTTCATGGAGTCCAAACGCAGACCCTAGTTCACCTTACGGCCTTGGGTTTGTCTGCTTTTGGAGCTATATATCCAGTAGATAGATAGACAGACAAGACAGATACATTTTCTCCCTTTCTTACCATAATGTCAATGCCTCGTCTGAATCTCATCATCACTCAAGAGTCAAGAGAGGAACCAAATGCTTCATATAAACAGGGCTGGGCGGGGAGCGTTAGTTTTCACTGTTTTCTGTCTCCATTCAGATCATTCCTATCAAAGCCCAGCTGGTTATCTGAAGCCAAGAGACAGACATAAGGATCCCAATGGCCTTCCAGATGGCTGCTTCCACCTCCTACCTGGGCTACTCAAACTCTTTATACAGGAAAGTGAGTCACCCCACTCAGAAGGGTTGCCAGCAGAAACAGGGCATGAAAATCACAGATAACCATGGGATTTGTTCCAAGTGGTCAGTGTGAAATAAACCACCACCACCACCACCACCAAAAACACAAAACAAGCAAAAAAAAAAAAAAAAAAATTAAATTAAATTTAAAAAAAAAAAGGCTTTTTCAAAATCCAAGACAAAATACTGTGTGAGAGCCAGGCCATGGCATTGCCTTTTCTCAGGCCACACAGCTTTCCCAGTCCATTTGCTCACATGGAACTGTGAGACGTGAAGGTCTGCAGAGCGTGTGCTGGGGATGGAGGCTGGTACTGTTCACCTGTGGGTCCATGCCAAAGGGCAAAGAGGCAGAAAGCTACAACTCTGTCCACCACCACGGCTTAGGCCTCCTGCTCACAGAGGCTCTGAAGAGCCCCCACCTCAGCCTTCACACAAAATATCTCCTTCTGGCTCAACTACAGCCAGGCTGGAATGCCATGGCATGATCTCTGCTCACTATAACCTCCGCCTCCAGGGCTCAAGTGATTCAGCCTCCCAAGTAGCTGGGATTACAGGCGTGCACCACCGTGCCCAGCTAATTTTTTGTGTGTGTGTTTTTAGTAGAGACAGGGTTTCACCATGTTGGCAAGGCTGGTTTTGAACTCCTGACCTCAAGTGATGCAAAGTGCTGGGATTACAGGCATGAGCCACCGCTTCTGGCCCAGGCCCTATGTTTTAAAAAAATTATTTCAACTTTTATTTTAGATTCAGGGGGTACACGTGTAGGTTTGTTACACGGGTATATTGTGTGATGCTGAGGTTTGGGGCACAAATGATCTCGTCACTCAGGCAGTGAGCACAGTACCCAATAGGTAGTTTTTCAGCCCTTTCCACCCTCCTTCTCTCTTCCCTCTAGTAGTTGCAGTGTCTACTGTTCCCGTCTTACATCCATGTGTACCCAGTGCTCAGCTCCCACTTATACATGAGAATATGATATTTGGTTTTCCATTCCTATGTTAATTTGCTTAGGATTATGGTCTCCAGCTCCATCCATGTTGCTGCAAAGGACATGATTTCATTCTTTTCATGGCTGCATAGTATTCCATGGTGTATATGTACCACATTTCCTTTATCCAGTCTACCGCTGATGGCCACCTAGGTTCATTCCATGGCTTTGCTATTGTGAATACTGCTGTGATGGACATGCAAGAGCATGTGTATTTTTGGCAGAACAATTATTTTCCTTTGGGTAAATGCCCAGTAAAGGAATTGCTGGGTGGAATGGTAGTTCTGTTTTAAATTATTTCAGAAATCTCCAAACTGCTTTCTTTATAATTTTTCCATGAACTAATTTACACTCTGGCCAACAGTGTATAAGCATTCCCTTTCCTCTGCAGCCTCACCAGCATTTTCTATTTTTTGGACATTTTAATAATAGCCACTCTGCAAACAACCTCTTTCAAGGCCAATGTGTGGAAGAGCCACAAACATCCCTTTTCCCGAAGAGAATTCTTGCCTGCCCACGGGTAGAATTCTTGTTTTCATCTGTCTTTCGTTGTTTGCTTTTCAAAGAAAAACCAAAGGTAAAGTGGTATGATCTTCCACACCTGAACCAGTTTGTAGCCACCAGAGCCTGCTGGGAAGGGGCCCCTCAAGGATGCATTGATCTTGTCACCTGGAATTTGAGAGATCAAGAAGCCCCATAGCAACCTGCCATACAACTGCCCACCAGCGCTCATTCTTTCATGGATTAGCTCAATTCTGGCTCTGCAGACACTGGCAGCCACAGGTGATAAAACCCTGGGCCTCTGTGGCCTTTCCTCATCACCCAGGGCCACAGCGGGCTGCCTGTCCTAGGCAGAGACACAGCAACATTCTCTTAAACTGAAATTAGGCATAAATCCACTTCACCAACAATCATCTCAGGGCACAGTCCCTGCCTCCTTCCTTGGGGATTTTAAAACACACATCTCTGACCAAACAGGTAGGTGAGATCTGACTTTAAAGGGGGGAAAATCGGGATGAATTGTGGTATGAGGAATGAATCCCAAGTGTTTTTGTGTGGGGACAGGCATCCACATCCTGAACTGTACCTGGAGATGGAGAAAAATGCAGGAGAGGAGAAGAGAAACAAAGGGGGACAAAGTGGCTGAAAGTCATTGAAAGCTTCTCTCGTGGTTCTTTCTGGCTCTGGTTGCTTTGCCAAGGTCTTGGGTGCAGGCAGAGCCGACTCTGGCTGGGAGCTGCTGCTCTGGGAGATGGAAGAGTCACTTCACCTCCAGAAACCTCATTTGATCATCTGGAAAATGGGCAATTCCAAGGTGGTTGTGATGATAAAATGAAGAAAAAATTCTTAACTTATATGAGTTACAGGCTGTATACTAAGTTATGTGGTATATAGTAAGCACACAGAAATGATTCACTGTTATCATAATTGAAGGACAGTGGTTTGGTGTGCTAAGCAGTAAACACAAGACAGAAAGATGTCTTAGAGAAGCAGACAAAGAAATTTATAGTTCAGAATGAACAGTACCAAGAATGGCATGTCCTCCAAATTGAGCTTGGGCAGCTGGATCTGAACCTATCCTACACATCTGAGTCTACAGTATGAGGTAACAGTCTCCACCTATAGCTATCTTCTCTGCCTGTAAGGTCATTCCTGTTTGAAGAAAGCTGACCTCAGACTATATTGTGATCGTTTAAGGAAGAGCGCAAAATACTGGAGAAGGCTAGTCTTCAAGCTCTAGATACAGAAAATCCTCATGTTCTTGGGTATTCCCTTTCAGAAAGAGAGTCAGAGCCACAAGCACTGATCCAAAAATCCCCTTCTCCAAAAAAATTTTCCATCTTCTGCCAAGGTTCACCTCCCTATTTAGTGCACACCGGTGTCTACAGTTGCTACAGCAAGAGTCTCTCCTTATCCTCTAAGGCAGGAGTTCTGTGAAGACCCCATGACAAGGGGACAAAATGAAACAACATGTTTAGGGGCAACACAGGAAAAACCCATATTATCAATGCTCCAAAACCTGGCTACCTCAGGCTTGGCCAGTTATTTGTGAGCAGAGAGGTGTGTCGTCTACATGGCAGTCATGGCCTGGATGGGTCTGGAACTGTGGCAAGGGAAGTCTCTGAGACAAGGTGCCAGAAGAAAGATGAATTCAATCATCTATTTCGGCCAGGAAGAAAAGCAGGAGGAAGGAATCAGATGTACAGTTTGTCCTCTGGGGACCTCTGCCTTGATCCTCAATAAATCTCCTTTTAGATGTCACCTGCAGCAATTCCCACAGTTCACAGCGCTCTCCATGGCTTCCGTTGGCCTTGTGGTGAGCTCTGCCAAGATCTGTATTCTTGGGCAAGACAGAACCCTTCTGAATCTCAGTCTCTTCCTCTATAAATGGAAATAATTTTGCTCTGCACAAATCACAGTTAGTATGTTTGCCACCTCAGCCTGGTGACCCCAGGAGTTGAATTATGGATGTGTCTTGACATGGATGTGGGAGATTTATCCTGTTGGAATTCACTTAGCTCACTGAATTTGTAGGTTTATGTCTCTTGCCAAATCAAATTTGGAAAATTTTTGGTCATTATTTCTTCAAGTACTTATTTTGCCGTGTTCTCCTTCTCTTCTCCTTCTGGGACAACAGTGTTTTGAATGTTAGATCCTTTGTTGGTCCTACAGGTTCCTGACACTCTGTTCACTTTTTTTTTCCAGTCCACTTTCTCTCTGTTCTTCAGCTGGGGTAATTTGTATTGTTCTATCTTGAAGTTCACTAATTTATTTTCTCTATCCCTTCCATTCTGCTGTTGAGCCCATATGCTGAGGTTTATATTGTTATTTATATTATTATTTTTCGGTTCTCAATCTCTTCTTTGTATCTTCTCTTTCTTTGCAAGCATGTTTGTATTGCTTGTTGTAGGCTTTTTTTGTTTGTTTTTTTTGAGATGGAGTCTCACTCTGTCGCCCAGGCTGGAGTGCAGTGGCGTGATCTCAGCTCACTGCAACCTCCACCTCCCGGGTTCAAGTGATTCTCCTGCCTCAGCCTCCCAAGTAGCTGGGACTACAGGCGCATGCCATTACGCCTGGCTAATTTTTGTACTTTTAGTAGAGACAGGGTTTCGCCATGTTGGCCAGGCCAGTTTCGAACTCCTGACCTCAGATAATCCACCCCACTCGGCCTCCCAAAGTGCTGGGTTTACAGGCCTGAGCCACCGCACCCGGCCATTGGAGGCATTTTTATCATGACTGCTTTAAGACATCTATCAAATCATTTGAATTTCTTTGTCATCTTGGTGTTTGTATCTATTCATTATCTTTTTTAAAAATACTTTTTAACAGACTTTATTTACTAAAGCAGTTATATGTTCAAAGCAAAAATGAGCCCAAAGTACTGAGAGGTCCTATGTACCCTTCACCCTTTCCCCAAATGCGCAGCCTCCCCGACTGTCAACATCCTATATTAAAGTGTTACATTGGTTCCCATCAATGCACCTACACTGACACATCATTATGACCCAGAGTCCATAGTTGATATTAGTGTTCACGGTTGATGTTGCATATTCTGTAAGTCTGGACAAATATATAATGACATGTATCCACCATAATAGTATCATACAGAATTGTTTATTGACGCCCAAAATCCTCAGTGCTCCACCTGTTCATTCCTCACGCTCCCTAACTCCTGGCAATCACTGATCTTTTGACTGTTTACATAGCTTTGCCTCTTCGATAATGTGTAATTGGAATCATGCAGTATGTCACCTTTTCAGATTGGTTTTTTTTCACTTAGTAATATGCATCCCAAGTTCCTGTTTCGCAGCCAGGCACAGTGACTCAATGCTGTAATCCCAGCACTTTGGGAGGCTGAGGTGGGCATATGGCTTGAGCCCAGGAGGTTGAGGCCAGCCTGGACAACATGGCAAAACTCTGTCTCCACAAAAAAATAGCAAAAAAAAAAAAAAAAGTTTCTCCATGTCTCTTCATGGAGAGAGGGTCTCACTCTGTCACCCAGGCTGGAGTGCAGTGCCACCATCATAGCTCACTGCAACCTCAAACTCCTGGCCTCAAGCAATTCTCCCACCTCAGCTGCCTAAGTAGCTGGGACTACAGTGTGCACCACTACACCCAACTCTTTTTTTTTATTTAATTATTTTTTTTTTTGTAGAGATGAGGTCTGGCTATGTTGCCAGACTAGTCTCTAACTCCTGGCCTCAAGCCATCCTCCTGCCTCAGCCTCATTTCTTTTTAGTGCTGAATATCCCATTGTCTGTATGTACCACAGTTTATTTACTCATTCATCTACTGAAGGACATCTTAGTTGCTTCTAAGTTTTAGCACTTAATGAATAAAGCTGCTATAAGCATTTATGTTTAAGTCTTTGTGTGGACATAAGTTTTGAACTCATTTGGGACTTATTTTTAATAGATACAAAGTCTCAGCTTTGCAAGACGAAAAGAGTGTGAGGATGGGCGGTGGTAATGGTAACAGAGCAACATAAATGTCTAATACCACTAAACTGCATTCTTCGGTGTATTTTGCTGCAATTTTTAAAAAATAAAAAACATGGCCCTCATACAAAAATGTACCACCTCACTTTCTCAGTAAAATTATTTTAGCAAGGTTCTAGTGGTAACAGAAATCAAAACCTTAAAAACATGCATATTCTTCAAATCAGTAATTCCATTTCTAGAAATGTATTCTAGAAAATCTGGCAAGGGAATAATATTGTAAGGGGAATAATATTGTAAATACATTTGGCATGAATTTTTTCAAACAATGACAAGTGGAAAACCACCTCAATGTTTCAGAATAGGGGACTGATTAAATATCACTCTGCATATCACCACACAATTAGCTATTTACAATTATGATCTAGATGAAGAATTGAAACATGAAATTTTGTTCCAGTATTTTGTTTTGTCGAAAAAAGCAGATCACAAAACAGTGTGTGTGTGTGTGTGTGTGTGTGTGTGTGTAATGCTTTTCAAGTGATTAATCTAGACAATTATCTGACAAGCATCCAGAGATCATGTTAAAACTTTACGCAGATGAAGCTTGGGGAACCTGTCTTAACATTTTATTCCCACAAAAAACTACATCCACCATCTCTGAGTGCTCATTCTGGGCCAGGCCTTTTATGTATACAGCTCATTTAGTCCTCACAGCATCCCTTCATGGTAGACACTTTCATTATTTCTGTTGTGTAAATAATGACTCAGGAAAATTGAGTTCCAGGCCCAGGCTCACAGCCAGGCCTGGACTGGGCTTGGCTTACCTGGTAGGAGATGCAAGGGCTCAGGGTGATCTCCAGAGCAGGAGATACTACACAGATGTGGAAACCTACCGTCATTTCTCCAAAGGAAGGAATGCACGGTACAGGCCATGCTGTCTGACAGTGGGAGAGAAAGGAAAAAAAAGGAATGAGTCCCAACCCCCTTTTGTTTCTTTCTATGGCTCCCAGGAGCTTGTTTTCCACCAAGATTGTAGGATGTTGGTTTTCAAGGCTACCATGTAGCTGGGAGGACGTGATGAGCATAGAGCAAATAAGAACATTACAAAGCTCACTATTCTAACCAAAATTCAGCCTATGTTCTTGAATAAATGCTCCAAGATTAGAGCAAACCTTTAGATATTTTCCAGAGTTCTGAAAAACTTGCTTCTATTTTTCTGAGTTGCTTTTATGAAGATAGGAATTTTAGAAGGTTCCTAGCTTGCCATTTTTACTGACATCACTTCCAAATACACTTTTTATTTATTTATTTATTTATTTTTTTTGAGATAGAGTCTCGCTCTGTTGCCCAGGCTGGAGTGCAATGGCGTGGTCTCGGCTCACTGCAACCTCCGCCTCCCAAGTCCAAGCGACTCTCCTGCTTCAGTCTCCCTAGTAGCTGGGATTATAGGTCCATGCCACCATGCCCAGCTAACTTTTGTATTTTTAGTAGAGATGGGGTTTTGCCATGTTGGCCAGAAAAGTCTCAAACTCCTGAACTCAGGTGATCCTCCCGCATCAGCCTCCCAAAGTGCTGGGATTACAGGTGTGAGCCACTGTGCCTGACCCCAAATATACTTCTAAATACATTTCTGAACTCACAAAAATGTAGAGGAAGTACAAAATGATTACACACACACATGCACGCATGCATGCAAACAATCTAGAGGTGAAACTAAAGTCATCAGTCAACACAGAAGCCAGAGATGCCCTGGAAGTGTGCCAAAACCAAAAACCTAGAGCTTTGTTAGTTAATATTGCGGCTGCCTGAGGTAGCACATAGGAATTGGGGCAATCCATAGGAAAATAAAAATACTTTCTTTTTTAAAAAGCTGGGAATGAGATGTCAATAGGGGACACTGAAATGCTCTGACACATTCCTGGGAAGCTAGAATTTTTCTGGTTAACTGACTAACAGGATTTGAACCTGACAAAGCAGGAAACTGAATCTGAGACCTCCACATAAATCCAGGCACCAAAATGGGCTATATATTTAGTGGAAAAGACAAAGCTGGAAGGATATGACAAGTGAACCCATAAGCAAATCAGTCTCTGCAGGCGGTGGATTGTAAAACATTAATAATTTTAATAGTCTTCCCTAATATTTCTAACCAGCTTCACTTTTATGCTGGAATTTGAATTTACACCATACTCATAGTCCAAGAAAATTCAAACCAATAAATCTAACTAGAATGGTTCCTGATTGGTCCTGCTTCCAGAGCCAAGCAGAAACCAAGCAAATCATCTCAGTTTTGGTCTCTCAGGAAACCCAAAGTTAAAGTTTAGACAAATATGAGCGATTTATAAAATTTAACAAAGAGTTGAAGGGTCAAACTACCATAAGCAGGAGTCAACAGAAACCATAAAGAGAACAACAAGACATAGAAAAATACAAATATTAAAATTATAACAAACTTTATACTCAGGAAGTAGGTTTAAAAGCATGTTTAAAGTGAAAAGATAGAGATCAACACGATGACTATGGGGAGCATTAAAAGGGGCCATTGGTCCACTCTGGAACTTCAAAGTAGGTTTTCTGAAAAAGATGATGCTTGAGCTTAAGCTTGAAGGACAGTAAATAATTAGCCAGGAGGAAAAGTGGTGAGGGAGTTTCAGAGAAAAAGATCATAATGAACAAATACATGGAAGCACTGAATAGCAGAGGGACTTCAGGGGAAATTATAAACATTTACCTATTACTACAGTAACAAATGTAGAGCTGAGAGGAACAGGAGATGCCTGTCCATTACATGAAGAAGTACAGACATTATTTAATAGGAAATAGAGAGTCAAAAAAGGATTTTAAGAAGGGAAGTCTCATGATAATTATGTTTTAGGTAGTCTGTGTTTCAGTGGTGAGGGCAGAGGGGCAACACTAAGATGTCAGGGATCAGTTAGGAGGCTACTGCACAGCTTAGGTGAGAGATGTTGATGGTCTGAAAACCAGGGTGACAGTAAGAATTGAGAGGAGAGACAGGTTTGAGAAACAGCAGAAAAAATTAGCACAACTTGTGATGGACTAGCTATGTGGAAGATAGCCAAAGCAATCCTACACAAAAAGAATGAAGCTGATGGCGTCACACTATCCTACTTAAACCATCTACAAGGCTACAGTGAACAAAGCAGCATGGCCCTGGTATGAAAACAGACACACAGGCCAATGGAACAGGTCAGAGAACCCAGAAGTAAAGCTGCACAGCTACAACCATCTGATCTTCAACAAAGCCAACAAAAACAAGCAATGGAGAAAGGACTCCCTACTCAACAAATGGTGTTGGGATAACTGACTAGCCATATGCAAAAGATTGAAACTGGACCCCTTGCTTTCACCACAAACAAAAAGCAACCCATGATGGATAAAAGACAAGTGTAAAACCTAAAATTATAAACTATCTGGAAAAGGGTGGGCGTGGTGGCTCATGCGTGTAATCCCAGCACTTTGGGAGGCCCAGGCAGGTGGATCATGAGGTCAGGAGTTCAAGACCAGCCTGGCCAACATGGTGAAACCCCGTCTCTACTAAAAATATAAAAATTAGCTGGGCATGGTAGTGCACATCTGTAATCCCAGCTACTGGGGAGGCTGAGGCAAGAGAATCGCTTGAACCCAGGAGGTGGATGTTGCAGTGAGCCCTGATCATGCCACTGCACTCCAGCCTGGGCAGCAGAGGAGGACTCTGTCTCAAAAGAAAAAAAAAACCTATAAAATCCTAGGAAATACCTTTCTGACACAGGACCTTGGAAAGATTTCATGATGAAGGTGCCAAAAGCGATTGCAACAAAATCAAAAACAGATTAGTGGAACCCAATTAAACTAAAGAGATTCTGCATAGCAAAAGAAATTACCAACAGACTAAACAGACAGCCTACAGAATGGGAAAAAATGCTTGAAAATTATGCATCTGACAAAGGTCTAATATCCAGAATCTATAAGGAACTTAAACAAATGTACAAGCAAAAAACAACCTCATTTAAAAAGACAAAGGGCAAAGGATATGAACAGACACTTCTCAAAAGAAGATATACACACAGCTAACAAACATGAAAAAATGCTCAACATCACTAATTACTAGAGAAATGCAAATGAAAGCTACAATGAGATACCATTTCATACCAGTCAGAATGACTATTATTAAAAATCCAAAAAATAGATGCTGGCTAAGTTGCAGGGGAAAGGGAATGCTTATACACTACTGATAGGTAAGTAAATTAGTTCCGCCATTATAAAAAGCAGTTTGGTGATTTCTCAAAGAACTTGAGAATTACCCTGAGACTCAGTAATACTATTACTAAGTATATACCAAAGGAATATAAATCATTCTACCATAAAGACACATGCACACATATGTTCATCACAGTACTATTCACAATTGCAAAGACACAGAATTAACCTAAGTGCCCATCAATGGTGAACTGAATAAAAAAATGTGGCATACATATACCATGGAATACTATGCACCCATAAAAAAAACTATCATGTCCTTTGCAGCAACACAGATGGAGCTGGAGGCCATCCAACTCTAAGTTAAAAAATATTCTAAGGAAACTGGCCAGCTGTAACACTCACCGCGAAGGTCCGCAGCTTCACTCCTGAAGTCAGCGAGACCACGAACCCACCAGAAGGAAGAAACTCTGGACACATCTGAATATCTGAAGGAACAAACTCCGGACACACCATCTTTAAGAACTGTAACACTCACCGTGAGGGTCCACGGCTTCCTTCTAGAAGTCAGCGAGACCAAGAACCCACCAATTCCGGACACACTTGTACTCCTGGCTACTCAGGAGTCCGAGGTGGGAAGATCACTTCGGCCCCGGAGGTTGAGGCTACAGTGAGTCATGATCACACCACTGCCCTCCAGGCTGGGCAACAGAGCAAGACCCGGTGTCAAAAAATAAATAACACTTTGGGAGGCCAAGGTGGGTGGATCACGAGGTCAGGAGTTCAGGAGTTCGAGACCAGCTTGACCAACAGGGTGGAACCCCATCTCTACTAAAAAAAATACAAAAAAATTAGCTGGATGTGGTGGGGCATGCCTGTAATCCCAGCTACTCAGAGGGCTGAGGCAGGAGAATCACTGGAACCTGGGAGGTGGAGCTTGCAGTGAGCTGAGATCATGCCACTGCACTCCAGCCTGGGCAACAGAGCGAGACTCCATCTCAATAAATAAATAAATAAAAGTAGACATTACAGCTGACACCACAGAAATACAAAAAATCATCAGACACTATTATGAACAACTATATTAATAAACTAGAAAACTTAGAGGAAATGGATAAATTCCTTTACACATACAACCGACCATGATTGAATCAGGAATAAACAGAAAACCAGAACAGACCAATCATGAGTAATGAAATTGAATCCATAATAAAAAGTATCTCCACAGTGAAAAGCCCAGGACCCAATGGCTTCACTGCTAATGACTTTAATACCAAATTCTACCAAACTAACAAAGACAAACTAACACCAATTCTCCTCAAACTATTCCAAAAAATTGAAAAGGAGGGAATTCTTCCTCATTCTACTAGGCTAGCAGTACCCTGATAGCAAAACCAGGTAAGACTGCAACAACAACAAAAAAAGATAGCTACACTCTAATATCCCTGATAAACACAGATGTAAAAATTTTCAACAAATACTAACCAACTGAATCCAACTGCACATCAAAAAGATAACATGCCAGGATCAAGTGGGATTTGTCCCAAAAATGCAGAGGTAGTTCAACATACACAAATCAACAAAGACGACACATCACATCAACAGAAAGAAGGACAAAAACCATAAGGTCATTTCAAGAGATGTAGAAAAAGCATTTGATACAATTCAAAATCTCTTCATGATAAAAACTCTCAAACTAGGCATTGAAGGAGTGTATAATACCTCAACATAATAAAGCCTACATATGACAAACCCACAGTTAACATCATACTATCATAGCTTTCAGCTTTTCCTCTAGGAACTGGAACAAGACAAGGATGTCTATTTTCGCCACTCATATTCAACACAGTACTGGAAGTCTTAGCCAGAGCAATCAGGCAATAGAAACAAGCAAAAGATATCCAAATTGGAAAAGAGAAAGTAAAATTGTCCCTCTATGCAGATGACATGATCTTGTATTTACAAAAACCTAACAACTCCAGCAAAAGCTCTTAGATCTGATAAATAAGTTCAGTACAGTTGTAGGATATGGCCAGGCATGGTGGCTCACGCCTGTAATCCCAGCATTTAGGGAGGCCAAGACGGGAGGATCACCTAAGGTCAGGAGTTCAAGACCAGCCTGACCAATACAGTGAAACCCCATCTCAACTAAAAACACAAAAATTAGCCGGGCATGGTGGCATGTGCTTGTAGTCCCAGCTACTCAGGGGGCTGAGACAGGACAAGCGCTTGAACCCAGCAGGCAGAGGTTGCAGTGATCCAAGATTGCTCCACTGCACTCCAGCCTGGGCTGCAGAGCAAGACTCTGTCTCAAAAAAAAAAAAAAAAAGTTGTGGGATAAAAAAATCAACATACAAAAATTAGTAGCATTTCTATACACCAGTAATAACTAGCCGAGAAAGAATTCAAGAAGGAAATCCCATTTATAATAGCTACAAGAAAATAAAATACTTAGGAAAAAAATTTAACCATGTTGAAAAAAGTTTCACCATGTTGGCGAGGCTGATCTCGAACTCCTGACCTCAAATGATCTGCCTGCCTCAGCCTCCCAAAGTGCTGGGATTACAGGCATGAGCCGCTGCGCCTGGCCAACTTTTTGAAATTTAATATGTTAACATATATGTAAAACTTGGACACTACTCTTAAGGAGCCACAGTCTTCCTCTAAAATTAGTAGTGGGCCTGCCATGGTGGCTCACACCTGTAATCTCAGCACTTTGAGAGTTTGAGGTGGGCGGATTGCTTGAGCTCAGGAGTTCAAGACCAGCCTGGGCAACATAATGAAACCTTGTCTCTACTAAAAATACAAAAATTAGTCCGGTGTGGTGGCACTGCGCCTGTAGTCCCAGCTACTCCGGGGACTGAGGTGGGAGGATTGCTGGAACCCAGGAGGCGGAGGTTGCAGCGAGCCAAAATCATGCTACTGCACTCCAGCCTGGGTGACAGAGCAAGACTCTGTCTCAGTTAAAAAAAAAAAAAAAAAAAAAAGAAGAGGAAGAAGAAGAAGTACCCTGGTTGGAAAGTACCAGGTGATGCCTGACACTGAGCGTTAAGCGCTCTGTTTTCTTTTTAAAAAAAAATATTATTTTTTAAATTTAAATTTTGAGTGCTGTTTTTCTTTACCACCAGAGGGCACCAATCAGGCAAGTCAATCTACATGCCATTATGAAACAATATGAGAAAGCTCTAGGAAGCTGTTTCTAGCATTCATTCTTTTTAACAAATATGTTTTGAGCACTTAATATGTGCCAAACATTGGAGTAGCTGGTGTAGAGTTTTGGAATTTATAGTCTTGAGCACCTACTATGTGCTTGAGAGAACAGATAGGCATGGGGATAGAGGGTAGGGTTCAATTTGTGATTTTGTGATTACTCATTGTCTTCCTGTCCTTGGCCATGAGTCTCTTGAGAACAATTACTTAGTGTCTACTTTGTGTCAGATGGTGTGCCTGTTGCTGAGGATTCAGGCATGAATAAGACACAGTGGCAGTCTACTAATAAACAATGTCTTACTGGCTAGAATAAAAACACATGAGCTAGTTCTGTGGAATTCCAGTTCCTGTGACCTGAGAATAAACAGCCTTGATTATAAAACTCATTAACGCATTGAGCTTCCAACCTCCCAGCATAGAGGCATGCCCGCAGTGGATGCTTAGTGAGTTTGTGAGTTGACATGAGCCCAGGGGGCCGCTTCTGGTCTGAGTGCCAGGTATACGTTCCAGTGGGTTAGACTAGGGCTTCATCACCCTCCAGGTCAGGGTGGGGCTGTGATGAGTTTTTGTGGGTGAAATGCTTTGAAGATGACCTTTCTACCTATTTATCTGCTCACCGCCTTGCTATTAAAGGTGTCAACATCATCTTTCACATTTCCGGGTCAGCAATCCTCTTGTCCCTAAATTGACTGGTACTGGAGGGAAAGACAGAATGGGACATAAACCATCATTTTGATAAGAGGGGCTGCATTCACTAGGATACTCCCTCTTCTCTGAGGGGAGCTCTAATTCCAGTAGAGTTCGGTCTCAAGACCTGGACAGTAGCGTTGGCGGCTAGAAAAGGATGTTTTAAAACACTGAGACCTCGTCTTTTACAGGAAAAAAAAGGCCAAAAAAAAAGGAGGGGGGGCTGCTTAAGTGTGGATTGTGTAGAGTGACTCCATTCCAAAGAGTACAGTATAGAAAAGGGGAGGAAGGGGCAGAGTAACTTTACAGTAGAAAGACTTGACACACTTCCTCAGCCAGACAATCAAGGTCAACATCAACATTGCTAAGTCATGTTGCTATTTGTGCCCTTAATATGATGTGATGAAATGGCATTTCACCTCTGTGATCTTACCCTCAAAAACTCATAATCCCAGTCTAATCATGAGAAAAGCATCACAATCCCAATTGAGGGACAGTCTACAAAATACTTGACCAGTATTCTTCAAAACTGTTAAGGTCATCAGAACAAAGTCTAAGAAACTGCCACAGTCAAGAGGAATCTACAGAAACAGGAAAACTGAATGTAGTCTGGTATCCTGGATGAGATCCTGGAACAGCAAAAGGTCAGTAGGTAAAAATTAGGGAAGTATGAGCTTCAGTCAACAGTGATGTATCAATATTAGCTCATTAATTGTAATACATGTACTCTACTAATGTAATATGTTAATAAAAGGGGGAACTGGGCGCCAGGTGTAGGGGAACTTGACTATCTTTTCAATTTTTCTATAAATCTAAAACTGTCCTTGGCTGGGCACAGTGGCTCACGCCAGTAATCCCAGCACTTTGGGAGGCTGAGGTGGACGGATCACCTGAGGTCAAGGGTTGGAGACCAGCCTCGCCAACATGGTGAAATCCCGTCTCTACTAAAAATACAAAAATTAGCTGGGCATGGCTGTGCACACCTGTGGTCCTGCTACTTGGGAGACTGAGGTTAGAGGATGGCTTAAGCCCAGGAGGTTACTGCTAGAGTGAGCTATAATCACTCTACTGTACTCCAGCCTGGGCAACAGAGTAAGACCCTGTCTCAATAAAAGGGGTGGGTAGTGGTGGTATCCAGAATACAGCTATGCCTTAAAGTTTTTTTCTTTCAAGTTTCTATGAATCATTAACCATGTGCCAGTCACTACGCTAAATGCTGTACATACATTTAATCATTACAATTGCTTGTGTTGGGTATAATTAATCCCCTTTTACAGAAGCTGATTAAACAGCCGGGTGTGGAGGCATGCACCTGTAGTCCTAGCTACTTGGGAGGCTGAGGTGGGAGAATCGCTTGAACCTGGGAGGCGGAGGTTGCAGTGGGCCATGATCGCGCCACTGTGCTACAGCCTGGGTGACAGAGCAAGACCCTGTCTCAAACAAAACAAAACCAAAAAACAAAAAACTGATGATACAGGGAGAAGTAATGGAACTAGGGTTGGAACCAAGATCTGTCTAGTTCCGAAACTGTGTGTGTAGAACTCTCACAATATTCTGGCTTTTCTAGGAAATGTTTTTTAGGCAGTTATCCTAGGACATGCCTTCCTAGGAGAAAGGAGTACTGTATTCTGAACCACGGGGGGACCAAAGACTGTCCCCACATCTCACTTCGGTTATGATTATCTCGAAAGTCCCTCAGTTCCAGGGTGGACATTCAAGCCACAAGCACCTATAGGGAACTTTGACCCCTAAGTTCAACCACAGTAGTTTATTTTACAAATGGCGAAGGCGAAGGGCAGCCTGAGCACTTGCCCCAAATCACAATGAGAAGGGCTAGAGACCCAGTTTGTTATTGTCTTTTTCCTCACAACTTCCTCTTTGTAGTTAAGAAGGGAAGCAGAAGCTGACCTTTTTGTCTCACCCCGTTTCTCACGTGGAACTGCCGCACCCAGGGTGAGTAACGTGCCAAAGGGCACACTTGCCTGTGGGCTGGCCTGCGGGAAGGTCTGTTCCCACCGAAAAGACCCACATTGTCAGCACATCCTAATCAAGTAGCTACTAAGTGGAGGGACCGCAGACTGGGTGTCACGGGGAGGGGCCTGCAGCGACCAGGCCCGTCCCAGGATGGCTGCGGAGGCCCCTGGATCCACAGTGGGGAGGGCCCCGAGAGCCGGGAGACCTGGGTTCCCTTCCCGGGCACGCCTTTGGAACTGCGGCGTCCAGCCGCACAACCGTCACTCTGGGGCCACGGCAATCCCTGCGCCCGCCCTTGGTCCCCGCTGCTTCTGGGATCTTTATGGGCGGGGGACACGCGCCAGCGTCACAAAGCGCCGCGACCGCGCGGGAGACCGAGAGGAGGCGTGGAAACGGGAGGAGGAGGAGGTGGTAGTGGAGGAGAGCCAGGCACGGTGGGGGGAGGGGAGGGAGGGGCACGCGCACGCGCGTCGGGCCGCCAGCCGCTGAGAGCCGCCCAGCACCCGGCGTGCGCCCCTCCTCCCTCTCTCCCTCCCTCCCTCCCTCCCTGCTTCTCGGCTCCGTTGCTCCCGCGGCGCGAGGCGCTCTCGCTCTCCTCCTCCTCCGCCGTCGCCCCTCCCCCCGCGCAGCCCCCGCCGCCACCGCCGCGAGACCCCCGCACGCCGCTCTCCCCCCACCCTCTCCTGCCCCGCGCGCCCTCCGGCCCCTGCGGCCCCCGAAGAGAACGAGAGGGCGAGCGAGCGCGGCGTTCCCGGGCCGGCCCGGCCCCCTCCCTTCACCATCGCCGGCCCTCCGCCGCCTTCCTCCGCTTCCACCTCCTCTCCCCCCCCCCAAGTTGAGGCCCCCTCCGGGGGGGGGAGGCCCGGGACCGGGACCCGTAGCGAATTCTCCTAACTCCCTCGACCTCTCCTCTCGCCCGGCCCGAGTGTGAGGAGAAGGGCCCGGCCCGGCCTGCGTCGTGTGTGAGGAGGACCCCGGGCGGGCCCACGGGCCGTGTGGGGCCTGGTCTGGCCCGCCGGGTGTGTGAAGACCGGGGCCCGGTGCTGCCCGGCCGGAGGGCGAGCGGAGGGGAGGGGCCTGGTCCGGCCCGGCCGGTGCGTGAGGACTGGGGCCCGGGCCCGGCGCCGCCGCCGCCGCCGCCGCCGCGATGGCCCAGCAGCAGATGACCAGCTCGCAGAAGGCCCTGATGCTCGAGCTGAAATCCCTGCAGGAGGAACCGGTGGAGGGCTTCCGGATCACCCTGGTGGACGAGTCCGACCTCTACAACTGGGAGGTGGCCATCTTCGGACCCCCCAACACCCTCTACGAAGGCGGCTACTTCAAGGTACCCTCACCCTCCTCCCGGACCCTGCTTCCGCGGCCGAGGCCTCCGGCTCCCCGCCGCTTTCTGCAGTTCCTGGGACCAGGAGTATGAGCACGGGCGAGTGGAGGGGGCTTCTCACCCGTGCAGCCCCCTCCCCCATCCCTGGAGGCAGGAAGGCCTTGCTCGCCGAGTGCCTTTTCTTTGTCATGGGGGCGGGGGCTCGGGCGGGGGCGGGAGGGCAGGCTGCACCGGGAAATCGGAGAGCCTCTCTGGTTAGGGTAGTGTCTACGGGCGGAGGAGGCCGCCTTTGTTTCCCCCGCTGAGGGTGGGTGGAAAGAGCGGTGGTCTATCTGTGCTTTTTCGTTCTCCGGTCGGAACCCCTCCCTGCGCAGGCTGGAACTGCCCCAGAGGGCAGGGTGACCTGCACCGACTGGATTGGACTTTTCTTTTTTGGGGGGTGGGGGTGGGGGTGGGGTGGGGGAGGGGCACCAGCTTGTCATTTCAGAAGCTGCCGAGTGCCCTGACATTTTGAGGATTTGTTGGGCATCTTGGGTAGTGGTAGTGCCAACTTTGCATTCCAATGGGTGGTGGTGAAGAATGGGACCCTAGGGGTGGTAAAAAAAAAAAAAAAAAAAAAAAGGGTGCCCGCGTCGTCTTGTCATTATCCATTTGGGGGAACTTTAACCCTCTTTCCGTTCACATTCTCTGCTTACCTCAGTCACTGGTTCTTTCAAAATGCCCTTTGTCCTCACCATGCCACCAAGTTTGCCAACCTTTTTTTCTACAGGTAGAAGTATCCACAAAGGGTGGAACGAGTCATGTAGGGAGACTGATAGCTTCCTACTTTCAGAGACAAAATTGAAACCTGCTCAAGTGGTTAACTCTAGCTAAAGGGGTGGTCTCACAGATGACAAGTATCATCTGAGGCGAGATCGTTTCTCTGGGTGGGATGTATGGTTCCTTAGCGACCACAGACATTGTTTCTGTTGTTTTATATGGTCTTAGAACAGTGGTTATCATTCCAGAATCTAATGATTTTTTTTTAACTCCAAGGTAGTTAACTTGGAGATAATGAGTGTTTGTTTTGTTTTGTTTTTACTTGAGTGTTTTTGCAGGGAGGAATCACAGATTGAAAGTCTGAATATTTTAAATGATGGGGGCAGAGAGAGGAAATGAGTGCTTAGGAATCCATTTAGTTTTATTTTTTTATTTTCAAAATTAAGTAAAATAGGCCAGTGAGTCAATTTTAGTTTGGAAGGGAGGGGTTATCTTGGCACAAGTTTTAAATGAGTATCTTAGTCATGTAGTTGTGATGTGTATTTTTAGGACTACCCAATTACTTAACTCTTGTTTTCTACCCTTCTAAAGGTGGAAACCTCAGTTTTATGCTTGAAATTAGGTCAACTTTGTAGGAAATGGGATTGATACAGGAATGTTTAATATTCACTACTGTATATAGTCACTGAGTACCTAGGAAAAGCACGTTTTTAGAATATTATGTAAGTGCGGTACCCCTACCAACTGTTAGGCTTCATCTTTTGTGGTCAGCCTACCCTATACTTTTCAGATGGAGGTATTTAAAATTACTAAGAAAACATGCAACTTATTAGTAACAAAGTGGAAAAGATATTGCTGTGTTTATGATGAAGCATATTCTCTGTTGTCAAATATAAATTTTTATGCATACTGGAAAAATTAGTTGTACAAAATTGAATGTATGTGATACCTTTCTTTTTTTTTTTTGAGACGGAGTCTCGCTCTGTCACCCTGGCTGGAGTGCAGTGGCGCGATCTCGCCTCACTGCAACCTCCGCCTCCCAGATTCAAGCTATTCTCCTGCCTCAGCCTCCCAAGCTGCTGGGACTACAGGCGCACGCCACCACGCCCAGCTAATTTTTGTATTTTTAGTAGAGATGGGGTTTCACCATATTGGCCAGGCCGGTCTCGAACTCCAGACCCTGTGATCAACCCGCCTCTGCCTCCCAAAGTGCTGGGATTACAGGCGTGAGCCACTGCGCCCGGCCATGATGCCTTTTCTGACAAAACATTGTTTAGCAAAATCTGCTGGCTAATGTTAGTGGAATAAAGTTTGATTTCCAAAAAGTGTCATTGTTTGGTACAACCGATATTTAAAATAAATAAATGGGTACTAGTTAGAATAATCTCACTCCAATAAAGTTAAAAACAAGAGCAAACAAAACAAAACAAAACAAAACTTGTACATGAGAGAAAATAATGGGTTGCAAGTTGTAATATTTGTGCATAAGTCTGGGAAAGGAGTGTGGAGAACCCTCTCTGAAATAGGAAGTATGGAAGGATTCCTTGTGTTAATACACTGATTTAAATTAAATGCTTCTGAACTTCAGTCCTTGTTTAAAAGAATGATTTAATCTCGTGCTTTGTGATGTTAGATTTCTTAAGCTTTGAGTGTTTTTACCTTTAATTCTGACATGTATGAAAATTTGTAAACAGGTTTTATGGTTTAGTCTTGTGTGAGAAGTTTGTTCGATTGTATTTTCGACTACTTTTTCCCTTATATGGCCTTTTATCCCATTAGTTGTTCATTAGAAAAAGGCAAATTTATGGTCATGAGCAGTTGACACTGGGGATATGTTTAAAACCATTGTTTTTATTTTACTGCTTTTGTCTTAAGACAAGGCTTTTAGTGTATTTCACTACAGCTGCAGTTGAAAGTTGGCACAAAGCTTTCCCTACCATATCACTCTTCTCCCTTATTAAATGTTAGTCCTTGAACATTTAGTATAATTTATTTTCAAGTTAAACTCTTTTCCCTTTTTGGCATAGTCATTCGTGAAGGCAGTGGGACTGCCAGTCATTCTTTACATTTTTCATACTGTAATTCCTTTAACTTTTATATATTAATAGGTTTCTAACTGATCTTTTTCACCCTGAAATAGTTGGCTCTTGTCTCTTACCCACAGGATCTGCATTGGAGATTTGTGAGACCTGTATTTCACAGAATTTTTTTATTCATCCTGCTTTCGCTTATTTAATATCGCCAATCCACGTGATTCTTAGTTTTGGGCCATATAGATGTAGGATGGGCAAAGATAGTTTCTTCTGTCCATTCTGAATACTATACAATCTTTTTTGGCCTTACTATCTTTTTGTGTAGTTTCTTATTTTGCTACCTAAGCAAGTCGGAATTTTATTGTTACTAGAAAAATAAATTGTGGATCAAGTCAGTAGCTAATGAAGACTTTTAACAAGTTCACCCCCTTTCTTTTGAAAGGAACTTTTTCAGGGTCTTTCTCTGTCACTTAGTTTGGGGTACAGTGGTGTGATCATGGCTCACTGCAGCTTCCACATCCTAGGCTCAAGCAGTCCTCCCACCTCAGCCCCCTGAGTAGCTGGGACTACAGGCATGACTACGCCCGGCTAATTTTTTTTTCTTCAGTATTGTTAAGTGAGGTAGGGTCTCACTATTTTGTCCAGGCTGGTCTCAAACTCCTGGGTTCAAAGGATCCTCCTTTCTCAGCCACCCAAAGTGCTGGTTTTACAGGCGTCAGCCACCATGCCCGGCTGGAACTATCTTTTCAAATAACTCCTGCTAAGGATTGTAGCTTAGTGTGGGTGCTTTAGTACTGAACCTCCTTGGAACTTTTGCATTATTTATCTAAAGCATTATAGCAGTGAGTCTAGAGCCAGAAAGAGTGCCTCTTTTATGATATGCATAACAAAAAAAAATTTTTTTTTTTTTTGAGATGGAGTCTCACTCTTTTGCCAGGCTGGAGTGCAGTGGCACGATCTCAGCTCACTGCAACCTCTGCCTCCTGGGTTCAAGCGATTCTCTTGCCTCAGCCTCCCGAGTAGCTGGGATTACCGGCGTGCGCCATGAAACCTGGCTAATTCTTTTTGTATTTTTAGTAGAGACAGGGTTTCACCATGTTGGCCAGGCTGGTCTTGAACCCCTGACCTTAAGTGATCTGCCCATCTCAGCCTCCCAAAATGTAATCCTAATTAGAGGCCTGAGCCACCACTCCTGGCCAACCTTTTATAGTTTTGATTTTATTAAATAATTTGATTGAGGTAATGAAATATAGATGTGTTCCATTTTTAGAAAACTCCAGTCTGATAATTTAGAAAGTATTTGTTGTATACTTAAAGTTTTCCTTATTAGGAACATCTTTATTAGACTCAACACTGACATATATATATATATATTTTTTTTTTTTGAGACTGAGTTTTGCTCTTATTGCCCAGGCTGGAGTGCAGTGGAGCGATCTCGGCTCACTGCAACCTCCGCCTCCTGGGTTCAAGCGATTCTTCTGCCTCAGCCTCCTGAGTAGCTGGGATTACAGGCATGCGCCACCATGCCCAGCTAATTCTGTATTTTTGGTAGAGACGAGGTTTCTCCATGTTGGTTAGGCTGGTCTCAAACTCCTGACCTCAGGTGATCCCGCTCACCTCAGCCTCCCAAAGTGCTGGGATTACAGGCCTGAGCCACCACACCTGGCCTACACTGACTTACATTAAAGAAACTCTTCAAAACCTTTTTTTTTTTTTTTTAAGAGATAGGGTCTCACTTTGTTGCCCAGGCTGGAGTGCAGTGGTGTGATCATAGCTCACTGCAGCCTGAAACACTTGGGCTCAAGGGATCCTCTTGCCTCACCCTCCTGAGTAGCTGGGACTGCAGGTGCATACCACACTCGTTTTAATTTAAAAAAAAAATTGTTTATGCAGAAAGGGTCTCATAGGCCAGGCTGGTCTCGAACTCCTGGCTTCAAACAATCCTCCCACCTTGGCCTCCCAAAGTGCTGGTGTTACAGATGTGAGCTACCACACCCAGCCAAATAATTTTTTTTTTAATAAGAGAATATGCATTATTTCCTATGCTTCATTTGTTTTGCAATGAATGAATCTATTTTCTGCCTTCCCTCTTCCCCCTAAAAAAACAAACCAGACTTAGCCTAGATCTGGCAATGTCATTTAGATATTTTATTTCTTTTTTTTCTTTTTCTTCTTCTTATTAATTTTTTTTTTTTTTTTTTAGCTGAGTCTCGCTCTGTTGCTCAGGCTGGACTGCAGTGGTGTGATTTCGGCTCACTGCAACCTTTACCTCCTGTGTTCAAGCAGTTCTCGTGCCTCAGCCTCCCAAGTAGCTGGGATTACAGGCGTGCACCACCATGCCTGGCTAATTTTTGTAATTTTTAGTAGAGATGGGGTTTTGCCATGTTGGCCAGGCTGGTCTTGAACTCCTGGCCTCAAGTGATCTGCCCACCTTGGCCTCCCAAAGTGCTGGGATTACAGATGTGAGCCAGTGTGCCCAGCCTATTATTATTATTTTAGAGACAGAGTCTCGCTATGTTGTCCAGGCTTGTCTTGAACTCCTGGGCTCAAGTAATCCTCCCGCCTCAGCCTCCCAAAGCACTGCGATTATAGGTCTGAACCATTGCACCCAGCCTATTTTATGACTCTTTAATTGGTAAAATATAGTTGAAAAAAAATTTTTTTTTTTCCTAGATGGAGTCTTGCTCTGTTGCGCAGGCTGAAGTGCAGTGGCGCGATCTTGGCTCACTGCAACCTCTGCCTCCCGGGTTCAAGCAGTTCTCCTGCCTTAGCCTCCCAAGTAGCTGGGATTACAGGTGCGTGCCAGCACGCCCGGTTAATTTTTGTATTTTTAGTGGAAACGGGGTTTCACCATGTTGTCCAGGCTGGTCTCAAACTCCTGACCTC
This sequence comes from Homo sapiens, assembly GCF_000001405.40. Taxonomy (NCBI): domain Eukaryota; kingdom Metazoa; phylum Chordata; class Mammalia; order Primates; family Hominidae; genus Homo; species Homo sapiens. The sequence continues at coordinate 33,823,610 of NC_000009.12, forward strand.
AGATGATCTACCCGCCTTGGCCTCCCAAAGTGCTGGGATTACAGGCATGAGCCACCGCGCCTGGCTGAAAAAATTTTTTTAGGAAAATGATTGTTTGCCTTTTTGAGACAGGGATTCTTTTGAGAAATTGAAGAATTTTCTCAGAGAAAATGGGTACACGTAAACTAATTTTATGTATCTTTTTCAGAGGGTTTACTGCCGATGAGCTAAGAATCCTCTTGTAAGGTATTTGGATAGGCAACTTAAAGACAATTTTAAACAGCTCCTTTAAAATTATAAAACGAATGCTCTTTTATTCCCCCATTTCTCTCAGTTAACTTTGAAACTACCTCTTAGGGCATTTAGCTGTCTCTTTCTGGAAGATGAAGTTGTCTTGAGTACTGGGTGAACTAAGGTAACGTTATAAATGGAAACACAGTTAAGGTCTAAGGGTTTTGGAAACTAAATGAAGTTTCACTTTTTGTTGTTTCTCAGAACATTTTTCAAACCAAATATGATGCCTTAGTTTTTCATAGAATATGCTTTTATCCTGTTTAGTTGATTACAAGATGCATATTTTTCTACCTTTTAACTTCTTTTTGATTAAGAAATTTCTTAGATGGCCAGGTGTGGTGGCTCATTCCTGTAATCCCAGGACTTTGGGAGGCCGAGGCGGGTGGATCACCTGATGTCAGGAGTTCAAGACCAGCCTGGCCAACATGGTGAAACCCGGTCTCCACTAAAAATACACAAATTAGCTGGTGTGGGCCGGGCGCGGTAGCTCATGCCTGTAATCCTAGCACTTTGGGAGGCCGAGGCGGGCGGATCACGAGGTCAGGAGATGGAGATCATCCTGGCTAACGTGGTGAAACCCCATCTCTACTAAAAAAATACAAAAAAATTAGCCAGGCATGGTGGTAGGCACATGTAGTCCCAGCTACTTGGGAGGCTGAGGCAGGAGAATGGCGTGAACCCGGGAGGCGGAGCTTGCAGTGAACTGATATCGAGGCACTGCTCTCTAGCCTGGGCGAGAGAGCGAGGCTCTGTCTCAAAAAAAAAAAAAAAATTAGCGGGTGTGATGGTCCGCACCTGCAGTCCCAGCTACTTGGGAGGCTGAGGCAGGAGAATTGCTTGAACCCAAGAGGTGGAGGCTGCAGTGAGCCTAGATCATGCCAGTGTACTCCAGCCTGGGCAACAGAGTGAAGCTCTGTCTCAAAAAAAAAAAAAAAAAAAATTCTTGGAATCCATGAAGTCTTGTAATTGCCATCAGCCAAGTGGTACTTATAACCTAGTTGTGAGAGACCATTTCATTGAAATCTTTTGGTAAATTTTTTTTTAAATACCAGTTTCAATGTCATAGATTTGCTAAAATAAGGATTATTTCTTCCTGGATTGAAGGATTTAGGTCCTAATTAATACTCTGCGTTGATTCTCCTTTTTTCACCTTTTGTGTCAGGAAAAATTTTTATTGAGGACTCATTAAAGGAAAAGCAAATTGTAGGAAAAGTCACTTCCTTAAAGATAGTAAGTGAAAGTATTAGGACAATGATAACCTTAGAGCTTTTAAGAATGATCGGCCAGGCGGTCGCCTGTAATCCCAGCACTTTGGGAGGCAAACAACAAAAACAAAAAGAATGATCTTCATAAAAGCAAAGCTTTTTTTTTTTTTTTTTTTGAGACAGAGTCTCTGTTACCCAAGCTGGAGTGCAGTGGTACAATCTTGGCTCACTGCAGCCTCCATCTCCTGGGTCCAAGCAATTCTCCTCCTCAGCTTCCCGAGTAGCTGGGGCTACAGGCGTGTGCCACCATGCCAGACTAATTTTTGTATTTTTAGTAGAGATGGGGTTTCACCATGTTGGTCAGGGTGGTCTCAAACTCCTGACCTCAGGTAATCCACCCACCTCGGCCTCCCAAAGTGCTGGGATTACAGGCATGAGCCACCACACCTGTCCAAAAGCAAAGCTTTTAAAGCTTTAAGGCTAGTTAGACCATTTTTCAACATAATGATAAAATGTTCTGTTCCATCTTTCCAACTTAATGGTCAGTTGGAGACACGTGAGAGAAAGGAGACCATCCAGCAAATTAGGCTACCTCTGATAATCTAGTTATGGAAAAATAACAGTGAGGAAAAGGTATAAATTCAGAGTTTAGGACTACAGATTTCCATCTTGCTTAAAGATTATATTGAAAAGGTTTAATTCTTTTATGTTTCTGAACTTCTTTTGAACTGCTTCACATACGACTACAGAGATATCTGAGTTGGTTGGATGCAGTGGCTCATGCCTGCTCACACCTGTAATCCCAGCACTTTTGGGAGGCGGAGGTGGGCAGATCACTTGAGGTCAGGAGTTCAAGACCAGCATAGCCAATATGGTGAAACCCCATCTCTACTAAAAATACAAAAAGTAGCCGGGTGTGGTGGCATGCGCCTGTAGTCCCAGCTACTTGGGAGGCTGAGGCAGGAGAATCGCTTGAACCCAGGAGGTGCAGGTTTGCGGTGAGCCAAAATCTTGTGCCACTGCACTCCAGCCTGAGCAACAGAATGGGACTCTGTCTCAAAAAAAAAAAAAAAAATCCTACAGAGATTCCTGAGTAAAATTTAACCTCTTTGATTGTGTTAATATCAACTTTATTCAGCAAGAAATTGTTATTCAGAGATTATGCTTATGTACCTCAAAATTAGTTGACTCTGAAGTGAATGGAATGATAGATACTAAGTTGAAGAGGTAAATTTAGTTCACATCACCAAGGTTTGATGTTACTTAAATGATCTTCCACATGATAATTGGAAAATTCAGGTGTTGGAATATGTATTTAAGATGCAAAGTGGCTAGGAGTGGTGGCTCACGCCTGTAACCCCAGCACTTTGGGAGGCCGAGGCAGGCGGATCACGAGGCCAGGAGATTGAGACCATTCTGGCTAACACGGTCAAACCCCGTCTCTACTAAAACTACAAAAAATTAGCAGGGCATGGTGGCACGTGCCTGTAGTTCCAGCTACCCGGGAGGCTGAGGCAGGAGAATGGCTTGAATCCAGAGGCGGAGAGGTTGCAGTGAGCTGAGATCACGCCATTGCACTCCAGTCTGGGCAACAGAGTGAGACTCTGTCCCCTGCCGCCCCCTCCAAAAAAAAAGAAAAGTGAATAGTCCACTTTAAACACCTTTATTTGATTTAGTAACAAATACATATAAAAATGTTTTGGTTATTGGGTGGGTGCAGTGGCTCACGATTATAATTTTTACCCAGCACTTTGGGAGGCAGAGGTGGGCAGATCACCTGAGCTCGGAAGTTCGAGACCAGCCTGGACAGCGTGGTGAAACCCCACATCTACTGAAAATCCAAAAATTAGCCAGGCATGATGTCGTGAACCTGTAGTCCCAGCTATCCGAGAGGCTGAAGCAGGAGAATCTCTTGAACCCAGGCCAATCGCTTGAACCCAGGAAGCGGAGGCTGCAGTGAGCCGAGATCGCGCCACTGCGCTCCAGCCTGGGCGACAGTGAGACTCTGCCTCAAAAAAAAATAAAAAGGTTTTGGTTATTGTCTTATTATTATTATTATTTTTTGACGCTGTTCGAATAAAAAAAAATTAGTCAAGCATGGCAGTTTGTGTCTTTGGTCCCAGCTACTTAGAAGGTTGAGTTGAGGTGGGAGGATCACTTGAGCCTGGGAGGTCGAGGCTTCAGTGAGCCATGAGCATGCCATTGTACTCTAGCTGGGTAACAGAGCAAGACTCAGTCTCAAAAATAAATAAGTTAAATTAAAAATAAATAGGCTGGGCACCGTGGCTCACGCCTGTAATCCCAGCACTTTGGGATGCCAAAGCGGGCGAATCACTTGAGATTAGGAGTTCGGCACCAGCCTGGTCAACATGGCGAAACGCTGTCTCAACTAAAAATACAAAAATTAGCCTGGTGTGGTGGCGCACGCCTGAAATCCCAGCTACTTGGGAGGCTCAGGCAGGAGAATTGTTTGAATGCGGGAGGTGGAATTTGCAGTAAGCTGAGATTGCGCCATTGCACTCCAGCCTGGGCAACAAGAGTGAAATTCCATCTAAAAAAAAAAATTAATTAATTAATAAAATTAAATTAAAAATTAAATCAGGCTCGGCGTGGTGACCCATGCCTGTAATCCCAGCACTTTGGGAGGCTGAGGTGGGCAGATTACGTGAGATCAGGAGTTCAAGACCAGCCTGACCAACATGGTGAAACCCCGTCTCTACTAAAAATACAAAAATTAGCTGGGCATGGTGGCACATGCCTGTAATCTCAGCTACTCAAGAGGCTGAGGCGGGTGAATTGCTTGAACCCGGGAGGCGGAGGTTGCAGTGAGCCCAGATTATGCCACTGCAATCCAGCCTGGGCGACATAGCAAGACTCCCTCTCAAAAAAAAAATAAATACAAATAAAATAAATTAATAAAATTAAAAATTAAATTAGGCTGGGCACAGAGGCTCACTGTAGTCCCAGGACTTTGGGAGGCTGAGGCTGGCGGCTCACCTGAGGTCAGGAGTTCAAGACCAGCCTGACCAACATGGTGAAACCCTATCTCTACTGAAAATACAAAATTAGCTGGTTGTGGTAGCACGCGCCTATAATCCCAGCTACTCGGGAGGCTGAGGCAGAAGAATCGCTTGAACCTGGGAGGTGGAGGTTGCAGTGAGCCGAGATCCCACCATTGCACACCAGCCTGGGCAATAGAGCAAGACTATTTCTCAAAAAAAAAAAAAAAATTAAAATCAAACTTATGGAGTGTTTTACAAGGAACTGTTTTAAAATTTTGATGACTTCAGTTTTTGTCTCTTAAAACTTTTTTTTTTTTTTTTGCAGACAGTCTCACTGTCGTCCACGCTGGAGTGCAGTGGAGTGATCTTGGCTCACTGCAACCTCCGCCTCCTGGGTTCAATCAGTTCTGCTGCCTTAGCCTCCAAGTAGCTGGGACTACAGGCATGTGCCACCACCGGGCTAATTTTTGTTATTTATTTATTTATATTTGAGATCAAGTCTCGCTCTGTTCCCCAGCCTGGAGTGCAGTGGTGCGAGCTCGGCTCACTGCAATCTCCGCCTCCCTGGTTTAAGCAATTCTCCTGGCTCAGCCTCCCGAGTAGCTGGGATTACAGGCATGTGCCACCATGCCCAGCTAATTTTTGTAGTTTTTTTTTTTTTGAGATGGAGTTTTGCTCTTGTTGCCCTGGCTAGAGTGCGATGGCATGATTTTGGCTCACTGCAGCCTCTGCCTCCCGGGTTCAAGTGATTATTCTGTCTCAGCCTCCTGAGTAGCTGGGATTATAGGCGCACGCTGCCATGCCTGGATACTTTTTTGTATTTTCAGTAGAGATGGGGTTTCACCCTGTTGGCCAGACTCGTCTCGAATTCCTGACCTCAGGTGATCTGCCTGCCTCAGCCTCCCAAAGTTCTGGGATTACAAGTGTGAGCCACCATGCCCGGCCTGATTTTTGTATTTTTAGTAGAGACAGGGTTTCACTGTGTTGGCCAGGCTGGGATTGAATTTACCTCAAGTGATCTGCCCACCTTGGCTTCCCACAGTGCTGGGATTATAGTTGTGAGCCACCGCGCCTGGCCTTTTGTCTGTTGAATCCACAGGAAAAAAATGGATCTTTAAAAAATTCTGGACTACTTGAATAAGAGAATGATAAATCATATTTCAGAAAGGCTTTTTATTAGCAAATTGATTTCTTTAATAGCAACTTTAACATTAAGGGGAGGGTGGGAATGGTGCCAATATTGAGAAAAATATAAGTCTAAGAATTTGGTTTTGGAGACATTGGGTACTCAGAAAGGTGGAAGAATGGAGGCAGCTTAAGTGATGAGAGATTACCTAATGGGTACAATGTATACTCTTTGGATGATGGGTACACTGAATGCCTAGACTTCACCTCTATGCAAAACATCCATGTAACAAAACTGCATGGGTACCCGCAAAATCTGTTTTTATAAAAAGTTGATTTTGGGATGAGAAATGATGATATAGTACCTCTGAAAGTGAGAGATGATAGAGAAAGTTAAATTTCTCAATACAATATTGGTTTATGCTTTTAAAATAATAATGCCTTGATATTTTCCAAGTATATTTAAGCATCATAGAGGAAACCTAAGCTTAGGGAAACATTCTTTTCAGTTTCCTCATTTGAGTCTAGTGAGTGCTATTTTTTAACCTCTATTACAGCATCTTTAGATTAGTGCAATCGTTTTTTTTTTTTTTTTTTTTTTAAACAGTTTCGCTCTAGTTGCCCAGACTGGAGTGCAGTGGCACAATCTCGGCTCACCGCAACCTCCGCCTCCTGGGTTTTCAAGTGATTCTCCTGCCTCAGCCTCCCGAGTAGCAAGGACTATAGGCATGTGCCACCACGCCCGGCTAATTTTGTACTTTTAGTAGAGACAGGGTTTCTCCACGTTGGTCAAGCTGGTCTCGAACTCCCGACCTCTGGTGATCCGCCCTCCTCGGCCTCCCAAAGTGCTAGGATTACAGGCGTGAGCCACCGCGCCCAGCCTAATCAGTGCAGTAGTTTTAATTGGTTAATTTATTCTGCATTTGGATTTCCAAGTTTCATAATTTTTTTTTTTTTTTTTGAGACAGAGTCTTGCCCTGTCACCCATGCTGGAGTGCAGTTGCGTGACCTCAGCTCACTGCACCTTCCACCTCTTGGATTCAAACAATTCTCATGCCTCAGCCTCCCGAGTCGCTGGGACTACAGGCGCATGCCACCATGCCCAGCTAATTTTTGTATTTTGGTAGAGACGGGGTTTCACCATGTTGGCCAGGCTGGTCTCGAACTCCTGACCTCATGTGATCTGCCCGCCTCGGCCTCCCAAAGTGCTGGGATTACAGGCATGAGCCACTGCGCCCGGCCTCATAATTCTTTAGATATCTGCTTTGCTGATTGGACGCGTTGGCTCATGCCTGTAATCCCAGCACTTTGGGAGGTCGAGGTGGGCAGATCACCTGAGGTCAGGAGTTCGAGACCAGCCTGACCAACATCGTGAAACCCCCGTCTCTACTGAAAATACAAAAATTAGCCTGTCGTGGTGTTGTGCGCCTCTCATCCCAGCCACTTGGGAGGCTGAGGCAGGAGAATCTCTTGAACCCGGGAGGCAGAGGTTGCAGTGAGCCAAGATCGGCCACTGCAATCCAGCCTGGGGGACACAGCAAGAATCCCTCTCAAAGGAAAAAAAAAAAAAAGAGATATCTGCTTTGCTTATTTGTTGCATGGGCAGCTGGTATTTAATTTGAGGGATAAGTCCCATAAAATAATTCATATTGGCTCATTTAGTAGCAAACATAGTAATTTGGGTTTTAAACATTGAATAATTTCTACCTTGTTGAAATAACTGTGGTTCCATTTATAAGATAATATTAAGAATGAGTAGAGTAGGCTGGTCCGAGTGCAGTGGTATTTACAACCTATTGATCACAACCAGTTACAGATTGCTTAGTTTCTTCTTCATTCCCTCTGTTTCACTGAACTAGCAAAAAAAAAAAAAAAAAAAAAAAGAATAGGTAAAGTTATAAAAACTTGGAAAATATGTAGTAGTTCTTCACAGAAACAGACTGGTGGCTGGGTGTTGTGCCTCACACCTGTAATCCTAGCACTTTGGGAGGTTGAGGCTGGTGGATCTCTTGAGCCCAGGAGTTCAAGACTGGCCGAGCAACGTAGTGAGACCCCCATCTCTACAAAGAAAAAAGAAACAGTGGCTTAAATCTTAAAAAACAGATTTTTAAGTTTACTTGTAATCATACCTGATATATGCAATAAGGCAAAACAAAAGAGTTTTGTTATTCAAAAGAATATTTTCCTTCTTATGACTTAATACTTTTTGTTTGTTTGTTTGAGACAGAGTCTTGCTCTGCCTCCCAGGCTGGAGTGCAGTGGCGCCATCTCGGCTCACTGCAACCTCCACCTCCCAAGTTCAAGCTGTTCTCTTGCCTCAGCCTCTGGAGTAGCTGGGATTATAGGCATGCATCACCACACCTGGCTAATTTTTGTATTTTTAGTAGAGATGGGGTTTCACCATGTTGGCCAGGCAGGTCTCGAACTCTTATTTTATTTATTTTATTTTATTTGTTTGTTTTTGAGACGGAGTCTCACTATGTCGCCCAGGCTGAAGTGCAGAGGCGCGGTCTTGGCTCACTGCAAGTTTCGCTTCCCAGGTTCATGCCATTCTCCTGCCTCAGCCTCCCTAGTAGTTGGGACTATAGGTGCCTGCCAACACGCCCGGTTAATTTTTTGTATTTTTAGTAGAGATGGGGTTTTTCCATGTTGATCAGGCTGGTCTCAAACTCCCGAACTCAGGTGATCTGCCTGCTTCAGCCTCCCAAAGTGCTGGGATTACTGGCGTGTGCCACCGCGCCCGACCTGTGACCCAGGTATTCTTAAGCTTGATTCATTGAATCAACGATAGCAATCACTAATAAATTATTTAGGCCGGGTGCAGTGCCTCATGCCTGTAATCCCAGCACTTTGGGAGGCCGAGGTGGGCGGATCACCTGAGGTTGGGAGTTCGAGACCAGCCTGACCAATATGGAGAAACCCCGTCTCTACTAAAAATACAAAATTAGGCAGGCGTGGTGGTGCGTGCCTGTAATCCCAGCTACTTCAGAGGCTGAGGCAGGAGAATCGCTTGAACCCGGGAAGCAGAGGTTGCAGTGAGCTGAGATTGCGCCATTGCACTCCAGCCTGGGCAACAAGAGCGAAAATCTATCTCAAAAAAAAAAAGAAAAGAAAAGAAATTATTTAATACCCTTTGGTTGAACTTTAATCAAATTTTTTCGGCCGGGCGCTGTGGCTCATGCCTGTAATCCCAGCACTTTGGTAGGCTGAGGTGGGCGGATCACAAGGTCAGGAGATCGAGACCATCCTGGCTAACACGGTGAAACCCCGTCTGTACTAAAAATACAAAAAAATTAGCTGCGCTTCGCGGCCAGCACCTGTAGTTCCAGCTACTTGGGAGGCTGAGGCAGGAGAATGACGTCAACCTGGGAGGCGGAGGTTGCGGTGAGAGCCGAGATTGTGCCACTGCACTCCAGCCTGGGCAACAAGAGTGAGACTCCGTCTAAAAAAAAAAAAAAGAAAGAAAGAAAGAAATTATTTAATACTCTTTGGTTGAACTTTAATTAAATTTTTTCAAGGTTTTTTTTAATGCTCTCAGAATCAAAACTTTAATTAAATTCTATTATAGTTTTAAGTAGTCAGGTTTATGGAGGTATAATTTATACATTAAAATTAATCTTTTTAGTTACATAGTTCTATGAATTTTGATAAATGTATAGTCACATTCAGTTTTTTAAAGAAAAAGATGACCACAGCAGGGCAGTTTTTATACCAAATTTGTCTATGTGAGAAGAAAATGAAGTTACTCTTTTTTCTTAAAATATGAGGAAAATGGCTCTGAGGACTCAGAGTTATTATTTGTGTGGTACAATGAGTCCTCACTAATTTGGATTCTACTAATTTGAAAATTATGAGGTTTTTCTTTTTTGAGAAAGGATTTTGCTGTATTGCCCAGGCTGGAGTGCAGTGGCACGATCTCAGCTCAGTGAAACCTCCGCCTCCTGGGTTCAAGTGATTCTCCTGCCTCAGCCTCCCGAGTAGCTGGGATTACAAACACATGCCACCGTGCCTGGCTAATTTTTTTTTATTTTTAGTACAGACGGGGTTTCACCGTGTTAGCCAGGATGGTCTTGATCTCCTGACCTCGTGATCCGCCTGCCTTGGCCTCCCAAAGTGCTGGCATTACAGGCGTGAGCCACCGCGCCCGACTAATTTTTGTGTTTTTAGCAGAGACGTGGTTTCACCATGTTGGCCAGGTTGGTCCCCTGACCTCAGGTGATCCACCTGCCTCGGCCTCCCAAAGTGCTGGGATTACAGACATGAACCACTGTGCCCGGCTGATATGGTCGTTTCTTGTAAGAGCTTCAGCATTACTTAACAATAAAAAATGTTCTAAGTAATGGAAGATTATATGAAAAGAAGGATTTAAACTCCATCTGTCACTTCTCAGTTACATTTTACGACATAGCATTTTATTTTGATTGTGGTGAATCATATAATTACCATTTTAACCATTTTTAAGAGTACAGTTCAGTGACATTAAGTATATTCACTGTGAAGTGTAACCAGCATCATGACCTATTTTCTAAACTTTTTCTTCATTCCACACTGAAACTTTGAAGCTGTTAAATAGTAACTAATTTTTCCCCCTTGCCTTCATTCTCTGGTAATCTCAATTCTCCTTTCTGTCTTTATGAATTTGTTTATTCTGGGCACCTTGTAGAAGTGGAGTCATAAAATATTTGTCCTTTAGTGTCTGTTTTATTTCACTTAGTATAATTATCTCAAGATTCATCCATGTTGTAGCATGTCTCTGAATTTCATCCCTTTTAATGGCTGAATAACATTCCGTTGTTTGTATAATTCATCTGTTGATGGATGCTTGGGTTGTTCCCACCTTTGGGTTATTGTGAATCATGCCGTTCTCTTTTGGATGCTGTAAATGTTTGGTAGACTCTAGAGTCCCACAGTAGTTACTTTAGACAATTCCTACCAGCTCAGTGGTTGTTTAGGTGTAGTGACGGATTCTTGGAGCTTCTTTTTTTTTTTCTTTTTTTTTTTTTGGAGACAGAGTCTCGCTCTGTTGCCCAGGCTGGAGTGTGATGGCTCAGTCTCGGCTCACTGCAACCTCCGTCTCCCGGGTTCAAGTGACTCTCCTGCCTCAGCCTCCCAAGTAGCTGTAGAGTAGCTGGAATTATAGGCACAAACCACCTCACCCAGCTGATTTTTTGTATTTTTAGTAGAGACGGGTTTCACCGTGTTGGTCAGGCTGGTCTCGCACTCCTGACCTTAGGTGATCTGCCCACCTTGGCCTCCCAAAGTGTTGGGATTACAGGCGTGAGCCACACGCCCAGCCTTCCTGGAGCTCCTTAGTCCACCATCTTCCATGACCTTGTCACGATATTAGCTGTTAAATAGCTACTATTTAATTATATTTATAAAACCTATTCATTATATAAAAATTAGAAAATATAGACCTCGCACGGTGGCTCACACCTGTAATCCCAGCACTTTGGGAGGCTGAAGCAGGTGGATCACCTGAGGTCAGGAGTTCGAGACCAGCCTGGCCAACGTGGAGAAACCCCATCTCTACTAAAAATACAAAATTAGCCGGATGTGGTGACACATGCCTGTAATCCCAGCTACTCGGGAGGCTGAGGCAGGAGAATCCCTTGTTCCCGGGAGGTGGAGGTTGCAGTAAGCCGAGATCGTGCCGTTGCACTCCAGCCTGGGCAACAAGACCGAAACTCTGTCTCAGGAAAAAAAAAAACAAAAGAAAAGAAAAGAAAAGAAAATATTGATAAACAAATAGAAAAAGAGAGAAATTACCCACAATCACATTTCCCAGAGTAATGAGTATTTCCTTTTTGTCCTTCCAGATATGCATGTTGGGAACATATTACATAAACTGGTTTGTAATATGTTTTGAAACTTAATATGAATATGTTTTAGCTATCTTTTCATGAGAGAACATGCATGTCTAAGTGTAGGTTTTTTTTTTTTTTTTTTTTGAGACCCAATCTCTTTCTGTTGCCTAGGCTGGAGTTTAATGGCATGATCTTGGCTCACTGCAACCTCTGTCTCCAGGTTCAAGTGATTCTCTTGTCTCAGCCTCCCGAGTAGTTGGGACTACAGGCACCCACCACCATGCCTGGGTAATTTTTGTATTTTTAGTAGATACAAGGTTTCATCATATTGGTCAGGCTGGTCTTCAGCTGGTGACCTGAGGTGATCCACCTGCCTCAGCCTCCCAAAGTGCTGAGATTATAGGCTTGAGCCACTGAGCCCGGCCTAAGTGTAGTTTTTAAATGCCGTGTAGTGTATATGCTGTACTTCATTTCTATTGCTGGACACTTAAGTTGTTTCAGCCTTTTCCTTAATACAAAAGATGTCGCAGGAAACTTTATATGTCCTTACAATTTTTGTTTGTTTTTGAGACAGAGTTGGCCAGGCACAGTGGCTTACACCTGTAATCTGAGCACTTTGGGAGGCTGAGGTGTGTGGATCACTTGAGCCCACGAGTTCAAGACCAGCCTGGGTGACATAGGGAGATCCCGTTTCTACAAAAAAAAAAACAAAACAGCCAGGCCTGGTGGCACGCACCTGTAGTCCCAACTACTCAGGAGGCTGAGGTGGGAGGATCATTTGAGCCTGGGAATTCAAGGTTACAGTGAGCTATGATTGCACTACTGCACTCCAGCCTGGGCAACGGAGTGAGACCCTTTCTCTAAAAAAGGCTTGTAGAAGAAAGTAAAGATATGAGTTATTTTTGTACAGCTGTATAGTGTGATTTCGTTTTAAGCTAAGAAGCTAAGTGTTGTTTCAAAGGTCAAAAAGTTAAAAGTTTGTATAGTATAAGAATTGTGGGCTGGGCACAGTGGCTCACGCCTGTTATCCCAGCACTTTCGGGAGGGCGAGGCAGATGGATCACCTGAGGTCAGGAGTTTGAGACCAGCCCGGCCAGCATGGTGAAACCCTGTCTCTACTAAAAATATAGAAAAATTAGCTGGGCGTGGTGGGAGGCGCCTATAATCCCAGCTACTCACCTACAATATTCAGTATAGTAACATGCTGTACAGGTTTGAAGCCTAGGAGCAATAGGCTATACCATATAGCCTAGATGTGTAGGAGCCTATACCATCTAGGTACAAGTATACCATTTTTGTGTAAGCATGCTGTATGATGTTCACACAATGATGAAATTGCCTAATGATGCATTTCTCAGAACATATTCCTGTCATTAGGCAACATATGACTGTAATTCAGTGGTTTTTAGTCAGAATTGTGCAATCATCACCACAGTCAATTTTAGAATATTTTGCTGGGCTTGGTGGCTCATGCCTATGATCCCAGTACTTTGGGAGGCAGAGGCACGCAGATCATTTGAGGTCAGGAGTTTGAGAGCATCCTGGCCAACATGGCAAAGCCCCATCTCTACTAAAAATACAAAAAATTAGCCAGACATGGTGGCACATGCCTGTAGTCCCAGCTACTCGGGAGGCAGAGGCAGGAGAATCACTTCAACCTGGGAGGCAGAGGATGCAGTGAGCCAAGATCATGCCACTGTACTCCAGCCTGGGCAACAGAGCAAGACTCTTATCTCAAAAAAAAAAAATATATATATATATATTCTTGAGGAAGTGTGCCTAGCAGGTAAATTTTTTGAAGCTTTATTCTAACTTTATACTTGAAATTACTTGGCTGGGTATAGAATTCTAGATTGGAAATCCTGTAGCTTTAGAATTTCGAGGACATTACTGTATTGGGTTCTTAGTTCCAAAGATGATGTTTGAAATTCAAGAATGTTCTAAATCCTGTGCATGGTATGTGAAGAGTTTTTTCTTCTGGAAGTTTGCAGGACTCTGTGTGTCCCTGATTTCTTAAATTTCACATTGCTGTAGGTACTTTTAAACTCATGTTTTTCAGCATTGGGAAATTTTCTTGAATTATTTCAAGATATTTTCTCCTCTATGTTTTTCCTCATGTTTTTTGGGGAGCACCCATTATCTGGATATAGAACAGTCTGAATTAATTCTTCTAATTAACATATCTTTTTCTCTTTTTTTTCCTTTATTTGTTTTTGAGACAGAATCTTGCTTTGTGGCTTAGGCTGGAGTGCAGGGGTGCGATCAAGGCTCACTGCAGCCTCAGCCTCCTGGGCTCAAGCGATATTCTTATCTCAGCCCCGACCATGCACAGTGCTGTGATTACAGGTATGAGCCACTGTGCCCAGCCTCTTATTTTCAGTTTAGGCAGCTGCTGCTTCTTTTTTTTTTTTTTTTTTGAGACAGGGTCTGCTCTTGCTCTGCTGCCTAAGCTGGAGTGCAGTGGTGCGAACATAGCTTACTGCAACCTCTGCCTCCTGGGCTCAAGAGATTCTCCCACCTCAGCCTCCTAAGTAGCTGAGACTGTAGGCACCTGCTACCACACCCAGCTAATTTTTATATTTTTAGTAGAGATGGGTTTTGCTGTGTTGCCCAGGCTGTTCTTGAACTCCTGAGCTCAATTGATCTACCTGCCTTAGCCTCTCATTGTGCTAGGATTACAGAGCCACCACACCTGGCCTGTTCTTGTTTTTTAATAGAGACAGTGTCTCAATATGTTGCCCAGGCTGGTCTCAAACTCTGGGCTCAAGCATTCCTCCTACAGTGTTAAGATTGCAGGTGTGATCCACTGGGCTTAGCCAACATTCTGTTTTTGATGTCTTGGTTTTGATGTCTTGATCATGGTTGTCGTTTCTCCTATTAACTCCCTGAAGACATCATGTATATACAGATATATAGGTAAATATATATAGCTTATATAGAAGTATACATAGTTTTATGTATGTGTAATTATATGTCTCATATATAAGCCATTATTTACAGTTGTCCTTCAGTATCCATAGGGGGAGTTCCAAGGACCCCCACTGATACCAAAATCTTGAATGGTCAAGTCCCTTATATAAAATGATATAGTATTTACATTTAACCTGTGCACATTCTCCCATATGCTTTATTTTTTTAATTTATTTTTTTGAGATGGAGTTTTGCTCTGTTGCCCAGGCTGGAGTGCAGTGGCAGTCTAGCTGTATTTTTTAGTTTGTATTATTTTTTATTGCTTTTTTTACTGTTTTTTTTTTCTTGTTTTTTTTTCGCTTGAATATTTTTGATCCACTGTTGGTAGAACCCAGGGATATGGAGGGCCTACTGTGTATACGTATATAATGTTTATATATATGTATGTACATATATATATACATTTTTAATACATTTTACTTTTCCTGCATGGACTGTTTTCTTCACGTTGAGTTGTATTTTAAGTGTTTCATGGTAAACTTTCCTGAGATGTTTGCTAATGTTAATCTGCTTAATAGTTTTTTTTTAAATTGAGGTGTATGTACATACAATAAAATGTGTATATCTTGGCTGGGCATGGTGGCTCACGCCTGTGATCCCAGAACTTCGGGAGGCTGAGACAGGTGGATTATGGATTCTTAATTTACTACAGTTTAGTTTATGTTAGTTGGTTTTATTACTTCCCAGGAAATGCAAGAACCGTACATTTAGCTCTTTACCTCCTTCTTGTCCTTTGCCCTATTGATGGTATATTTTCTTATAAACCTCTAAAGCAACAGTATTATTGTTTTACATAGTTGCTGTGGTCTGGCCAGTCGTGGTGGTTCACGCCTGTAATCCCAGCACTTTGGGAGGCCGAGGTGGGTGGATCACCTGAGATGAAGAGTTCGAGACCAGCTGGCCAACATGGAGAAACCTGGTCTATACTAAAAATACAAAAACTAGCCGAGCATGGTGGAGCGCACCTGTAATCCCAGCTACTCGGGAGGATAAGGCAGGAGAATTGCTTGAACCTGGGAGATGGAGGTTGCAGTGAGCTGAGATCGAGGCACTGTACTCCAACCTAGGCAACAGAGCGAGGCACTGTCTCAAAAAAAAAAAAAAAAAGTTGCTGTGGTCTGAATGTGTATCCCCAAAAGACATATGTTGAAACATAATCCCCAATGTGATAGTATAAGGAGGTCTGGCTTTTGGGAGGTGATTACGTCGTGAGGGCTCTGGCTTCATGAATGAAATTAGTGTTTGTGTTTTTGTTTTTGTTTTGAGACGGAGTTTCACTCTTGTTGCCCAGACTGGACTGCAATGGCAGGGTCTCTGCTCACTGCACCCTCTGCCTCCCAGGTTCGAGCAATTCTCCTGCCTCAGCCTCCCAGGTAGCTGAGATAACAGGCTCCTGCCACCACACCTGGCTAATTTTTGTATTTTTAGTAGAGACGGAGTTTCGCCATGATGGCCAGGCTGGTCTCGAACTCCTGACCTCAGGTGATCCACCCGCCTCAGCCTTCCAAAGTGCTGGGAGTACAGGTGTGAGCCACCGTGCTGGGCCTGAGATTAGTGTTCTTATGACAGAGGCCCCAGAGAGCTAGCTAGTCCTTTTCACTACTTGAGAATGCAGCAAGAAGGCATCGTATATGAAGAATGGGCCCTTACTAGACTCCAGATTTGTTGGTGTCTTGGTCTTCCCAGTCTCCAGAACTGTGAGAAATAAATTACTGTTGTTTAAGCTAGGAGTGGTGGCTCATGCCTATAATCCTAGCACTTTGGGAGGCTGAGGTGGGAAGATTGCTTGAGATCAGGAGTTTAAGACCAGCCTGGGCAACATAGCAAGATTCTGTCTCTACAAAAAAATCTAATAAGTTAGCCAAGTGTGGTGGTCTACCTGTAATCTTAGCTACTTGGGAGGCTGAGGTTGGAGGATTGCTTGAGCACAGAAGTTTGAGGCTGCAGTGAGCTATGATTGTGCCATTGTACTCCAATCTGGGTGACAGAGTGAGACCCTGACTCTTAAAAAAAAAAAATTCTGTTGTTTATAAGCCACCCAGTTTATGACTTTTGGTATAGCAGCTTGAATGAACTAAGTAGGTATGTTTTCTAAGTTGCTTTTAATATTTGTATGTAAAATTAGCAGAAAACGTCTCTTTCACAAACATACAGATAGTGCTTTTTCCCCTTTTTCTTTTTTTAAAAAATAAGGCGAATATCCATATCCCCAGTTCAAGAAACAGAACTTTTCAGCCATCCAGGAGCCATCCATGTGTTCCATTTCAGTTGTAACTCACCTCCCAAAAAAGAAAAATAACCACTACTTCACTCTCTCTCAGTCATTTCCTTTTCTTTTATAGTTTTATCACCGTGTACATTCTTAGACATTATATTTTATTTAGTGTTATGATGTCTTTTAAACCACAGTTTATGCCTCTATCCCTTTTTTTTCCTTAGTTTTTATGTTGAAGAACCCAGGGAGAGTTAACCAAAGTTTGAATTTTACTGATTGTACACTCATGTTGCATCTTTCTTCATTCCTTGTATATTTTGCAAATTGGTTACTGAACTCAGAGACTTGGTCAGACTCTGGTTCGGTCTCTTTAGCAATACTGTAGGCAGTGTTGTGTTCTTTCATGGGGAGGCAGAAGTCTGGTTTTCTCTTTTTTTTAAATCATGTCCGCAGTTGTTGGGCTCAGTGCCCAGATCCATTAATTTATCAATGGTTTAAAAATAGTGACATTCTAATTGTGTGGGTTTTTTTAAAATTTTTTGTTGGAATACTTTTATTAAGAGATGCTTCTGCTTACCTGCTGTTCAGTTATCCAGTGGCACAGTTATATAGGAAAGGTAGGATATATACTTGATTCTTTGCCTTTATTTATTCTTTTTTCAAAATAGTGACTTAGTTCCCTATTATTCTCTAAGAGAACCAGCTATTTAATTTAATTTAATTAATTAATTTTTTTGAGATGGAGTTTCACTCTTTCACCCAGGCTGGAGTGAAGTGGGGCCATCGCAACTCACTGCAACCTCTGCCCCCCGGGTTCAAGCAATTCTCCTGCCTCAACCTCTCGAGTAGCTGGAATTATAAGCACCTGCCACCACGCCTGATTTTTTTTTTTTTGAGACGAAGTCTTGCTTTATCCCCCAGGCTGGTGTGCAGTGGTGCGATCTCGGCTCACTGCAACCTCTGCCTCCCGGGTTCAAGCTATTCTGATTCAGCCTCCCGAGTAGCTGGGATTACAGGCGTGTGCCACCATGCCTGGCTAATTTTTGGATTATTAGTAGAGACGGAGTTTCACCATGTTGGCCAGGCTGGTCTCGAACTCCTGACCTCAGGTGTTCCACCTGCCTCGGCCTCCCAAAGTGCTGGGATTACGGGCGTGAGCCACTGCGCCCAGCCTTATGTCTTTGGCCAGTTGGAGCTTCTTCAAGTTGACTCCTGAATGACTTGGTCTACTTCTTGTAGTTTTCGTAGCATCTTTGCTATCTGGTATGACCAGGTGTTGCAGGCTTATCTTTTACAGTTTCTACCCCAGATTTATAACCTATTATTTCTTCAACAAGCCCTGGTTTTAGTGGCAGAGGTATTTAGGGCGCCTAATATGGACCTTAGAGATTATTGCTGCTGTGAGTTGTCATTGTTTCTAGGACAGAGTTATGGGTGATATATATGTATATGTGTATATCTGTACACATGCTTTTTTATAAAACTTAACCACTTCTGTATTATAATACATCGGTGTATATTTTTCCATGTTAAAAATTCTGGTTCTCAAGGATAGGGAATAATGAACTAGAATATCCTCATTATTAATTACTCGCTTGTTTTCTCGTATATTACACAGTAGTCTCAGAATAGCAATACTAATAATACCATAACCAATGTGATTGCTGAGAATAGTTGCATAAATTGTTTCATGTATGCTGTCCTCATCACCCCCCGACATCATCATATCTGTATTATATCTATCTTGTCAGATTATTCATTACATGCAATATTCTCTTTCAACCTTAATTTGTTTTTATTCTGTAAGTAATTATATAGTTCAGTGGCTGGCATTCTTTTTCTGTAAAAGGCCAGGTAGCAGATGTTTTAATTTTTGCAGGCCCGGAGGCAAAATTAAAGATACTATATTTAGGGTGGGCAAAGTGGCTCATACTTGTAATCCCAGCACTTTGGAAGGCCGAGGTCAGAGGATCACTTGAGCCCAGGAATTCTCCACCAGCCTGAGTGACATAGTGAGACCTTGTTTCCACAAAAATAAAAAAAAATTAGCTGGGCATGGTGGTGCACACCTGTAGTCCCAGATACGCGGAAGGCTGAGGTAGGAGGATCACCTGAGCCTGGGAGGTTGCGGCTGCAGTGAGCCTTATGGCACTGCACTCCAGCCTGGGGTGACAGATTTATATTACAAGAGAGAAGATAAATTTCCACCAATTTGTATTGACAAAATTCAAATAAAAATAATTGAAATTTTTTTTTTGGTAATGCAGGTCTCATTAAGAATTGAATTAATTTTGGAGGGATGGATAATTGCATCACTTAATAAGGTTATTGTTTTCATTAAAATGGATTGCTCATGTTGATCTCGAATGAGATTTCCTCTTTGAAAATGTCTTCATACAGATTGGTACTGCTAAATGCAGATACTAGTACATGGGCATATGATTTTCATTGTGATATTTATTGCTTGGGAGGGAGTATATAGAATTCTGTTAGATTCTTCTCTTGATATTTGCTTTTTAGCATGCCATTGTAGTGTAGATTAATCACTTCCAATTAAAGAGTACGTGGAAGCGCTACAATTGCACAGTTAACTGGATTTTGATGTATATAAATTTCCTTTTGTACTTGGCTGAAGGTCTGAAAAACACTGCTGAAGCTGCAATTTGAGCTCAGGAAATATATTCTAGCCACATGCCATGACACATGCCTGTAGTTCCAGCTACTTGGAAGGCTGAGGTGGGAGGATGGCTTGAGCCCAGGCTGTGATCGTGCTACTGCATGGCAGCCTGAGTGACAGTTGTGAGACCGTGTTTACAAAAAAAAAAAAACAGACCACTTTTTTTTTTTTTTTTTTTTTTTAAGACAGAGTCTTGCTCTGTCGCCCAGGCTGGAGTGCAGTGGCACGATCTTGGCTCACTGCAACCTCCACCTCCTGGGGGTGAAGCGATTCTTCTGCCTCAGCCTCCCAAATAGCTGGGATTACAGACATGCGCCATCCCGCCCAGCTAATTTTTGTATTTTTAGTAGAGATGGGGTTTCACCATGTTGGCCAGGCTGGTCTCGAACTCCTAACCTCAGGTGGTTTGCCCACCTTGGGCTTGCAAAGTGCTGGGATTACAGGTGTGAGCCACCATGCCCAGGCAAGCAGACCTCTTTTTAAAAAAAAAATCACTCAACTTACTTCATTAGTAGTAATGCAGCAAGTAGAAAAAAAGGAAAATACATTCATAGCAAATTTGTCTGGAAATGGAGGTTTTACTTCTTGTTTTAACTTTTTTGTTTTTTTTTTTGAGATGGAGTCTGGCTATGTCTCCCAGGCTAGAGGGAAGTGGCATGATCTCAGCTCACTGCAACCTCTGCCTCCTGGGTTTGAGCGATCCTCCTGCCTCAGCCCCCCTAGTAGCTGGGATTATAGGCTCGCGCCACCACACCTGGCTAATTTTAGTATTTTTGGTAGAGATGGGGTTTCACCATGTTGTCCAGGCTGATCTTGAACTCCTGACCTCAAATGATCTGCCTTGGCCTCTCAGAGTGCTGGGATTACAGGCGTGAGCCACTGCGCCCAGCCTACTTCTTGTTTTAACTTTTGTTTAAGACAGGAAGTTTATAGAGATGTTTGACATTACTTATAATTCAGACAACCTTTGTTTTCATCCAAATATTTTGGGTTTTACCACTGCATAAGTTTTGTACATAAGTGCTATTTGTCATATAATTTTAGTTTAAAAATCTATTAAGAGGTATTATCAACCTTGCAGTAAAAAAGCTGATTTCCAAGGCCATTTAGTATTCTATAATGATAGTTGAGGTTACTTCTTCAGAAAAATTTGTCTTGATCCCAAGCTCAAAAAATTGCAGTTAAAACATCACTGCCATCAGTACCTGCTGATGAATAATACAGTGAGTAACCATAAGCTTGAAACACTTTATTACATTTTATATTTTCATAAGTTTTATTAATTTGTCCAATTAATAAGCCTTTTTCTGTTCCACACACACATATATATAAGTATTTTTGAGAGAGTTTCACTCTTGTCGCCCAGGCTGGAGTGCAGTGGCGCGATCTCCGCTGACTGCAACCTTCGCCTCCCGGGTTCAAGCGATTCTTCTGCCTCAGCCTCCCCAGTAGCTGGGATTACAGGTGTGCGCCACCATGCCCAGCTGATTTTGTATTTTCAGTAGAGACAGGTCTTCACCATGTTGGTCAGGCTGGTCTCGAACTCCTGACTTCAGATGATCCGCCCGACTCAGCCTCCCAAAGTGCTGGGATTACAGGCGTGAGCCACCACGCCTAGCTGTCCCACATCTATTTTTTTTTTTTTTTTTTTTTTTTACCATCAGTTGTAATGTTTCTTTAGCAGATTCCATTTAAGGTTGAACTGAATTAGTGTTTATTCAAGTTTGAAAATATTCTTGGTGGTGTTGTTCCAAACATTCATTAGAGAGGCTAATTATTCAGTCACTTCGAAGTCTGTATTGACTGCTCAAATAAACAACTGAGCTGTATCAGTAACATATGTTGAGTCCTCTAGAGCCAAGGAAAACCACTCAAAATCATTTGCCTTTTTTTTTCTTTTTCTGAGACAGTCTTGCTCTGTGGCCCAGGCTGGAGTGTAGTGGTGTGATCTTGGCTCACTGCAACTTCCACCTCCCGGGTTCAAGCGATTCTCTTGCCTCACCCTCCGGAGTAGCTGGGATTACAGGCGTGTGCCACCACGCCTGGATAATTTTTTTGTATTGTTAGTAGAGACGGGGTTTCACCATGTTGGTCAGGCTGGTCTTGAACTCCTGACCTCAAATGATCCGCCTGCCTCGACCTTCCAAAGTGCTGAGATTATAGGTGTGAGCCACCAAGCCCTGCCTTCATTGCCTTGGTTTTTAATCAACTGTTGATGTTGCTTACAGTATCCTCAGCTTGCTGAGCAACTGTTCTCACCAAAAAGCTAATAATCTTATTTCCTCTGGACACATTCCTTTTTTTCTTTTTTGTTTTTGAGACGGAGTTTCACTCTTGTTGCCCAGGCTGGAGTGCAGTGGCACAATCTTTTTTTTTTTTTTTAGACGGAGTCTTGCTCTGTCACCCAGGCTGGAGTTCAGTGGCACGATCTTGGCTCACTGCAAGCTCCGCCTCCCGGGTTCACGCCATTCTCCTGCCTCAGCCTCCCGAGTAGCTGTGACTACAGGCGCCCGCCACCACACCCGGCTCATTTTTTCTATTTTTTTAGTAGAGACGGGGTTTCACTGTGTTAGCCAGAATGATCTTGATCTCCTGACCTCGTGATCTGCCCACCTCGGCCTCCCAAAGTGCTGGGATTATAGGCGTGAGCCACCGCACCCAGCTTGGCCTGGATACATTTCTTTGACTGGTATAATCAAACATGATTTAATGAACTAATCATTAGTAAGTGGTTCTTGATAGGCTAACAAATGAGCCATCCACCTAATTTAGTTGCTGTTTTATTTTCATTATTTTATGAAGAAATTCTACTGTGATAAGATACTTCATTTAGAATTTTCTAGGCCGGGTACAGTAGCTCACGCCTGTAATCCCAGCACTTTGGGAGGCTGAGTCGGGCAGATCATCTGAGGTCAGGAGTTCGAGACCAGCCTGGCCAACATGGCGAAACTCTGTCTCTACTAAAAATACAAAAATTGGCTGGGCGCGGTGGCTCACGCCTGTAATTCCAGCACTTTGGGAGGCCGAGGTGGGCGGATCACGAGGTCAGGAGATCAAGACCATGGTGAAACCCCGTCTCTACTGAAAATACAAAAAATTAGGCAAGGTGGCGGGTACCTGTAGTTCCAGCTACTCGGGAGGCTGAGGCAGGAAAATGGCGTGAACTCGGGAGGTGGAGCTTGCGGTGAGCCAAGATCACGCCACTGCCCTCCAGCCTGGGTGACAGCAAGACTCCGTCTCAAAAAAAAAAAAAAATACAAAAATTAGCCAGGTGTGGTGGCACGAGCCTGTAATCCCAACTTCTTGGGAGGCTCAGGCAGGGGAATCACTTGAACCCAGGAAGCAGAGGTTGCTCTGAGCCAAGATTGCACCACTGCACTCTAGCCTAGGTAACAGCGAAACTCCATCTCAAAAATAAAATAAAATATTCTAATTTTTTGCTACTATTTTCCCGTGAGTTAGGTACTGTTGTGTGATGAGTGTAATTTGGTAATGTCTATGAATAGTGTATTTTTTTTAGGATAGTTACATTGTCATTGCATAATAAAGACAATGCTTTGTCATCTAATTTGACAAAACATTCCTTGCGCCTAAAAGTATGACATTTCAAGTCCACTTTTCTCTCTCTCTCTCTTTTTTGGTTTTAATATGATGGGTTAAGCAATGACAATAAAAAATAAAATATCCCAGTACAGCATTATGTGTGGCTCTCAAAACGTTGTCAAATATAGCTACTATATCACTGTAATTTTGTAGTATATCATGCAGCAGTGTGAAGTGATGAGAACACCACATATGGTCTCTTGCAACTGCTAAACTCTGCCATTGTAGCATTAAAGCAGCCACAGATAAGTTATAAATGAATGAGTATGGTTGTTTTCCAATAAAACTTTATTTATTGAGTTTTATATAGTTTTTATGTGTCACAAATATTATTCTTTTGATTTTAACCACATATTTTCCTTAACAGTGTTTCTCATTTCTTCCTGAAGTGGTACTTTTATCTGAGAGATTTTCCTTCAGCTTAGTGAACTTTTAATAATTTTTATAGTGCAGATCTGCTGTCAACAACCCGTCTCAGTTTTTATTTGCCTGAAAACATCTTTATTTTGCTTTTTTTTTTTTTGAAGGTTTTTTTTTTTCTGGATATAAAATTATAGGCTGGGTTTTTTTCCCCCTTTCAGTACTATGAAGTTTTCATTTTATTGTTTTCTGGCTTTATTTATTTATTTGAGACAGAGTATCACTCTGTTGCCCAGTCTGAAGTGCAGTGGCATGATCTTGGCTCACTGCAACCCCTGCCACCCGAATTCAGGCGATTTTCCTTCTCTGCCTCCCGAGTAGCTGGGATTACAGGCATGCGCCACCATGCCCGGCTAATTTTTGTATTTTTAGTGGAGGTGGGGTTTCAGCATGTTGGCCAGGCTGGTCTTGAACTCTGGCCTCAAGTGATCTCCTGCTTCAGCCTCCCAAAGTGCTGGGATTAGAGGCGTGTGCCACTGCGCCCGGCCCTGGCTTGCTTAATTTCTTTTAGTAATGCTATTATTGCTGCATTTAAAGTAATGTCTTTTTTCTTTTGGCTGCTTTTAATATTTACT
This sequence comes from Homo sapiens, assembly GCF_000001405.40. Lineage (NCBI taxonomy): Eukaryota > Metazoa > Chordata > Mammalia > Primates > Hominidae > Homo > Homo sapiens. The sequence goes on from NC_000009.12 coordinate 33,847,482, forward strand.
CTTTGTGTTTGTTTTCAACAGTTAAACTTTGATGTGCATGGGTGTGGTTTTCTTTCCTGCCTTTGGTTCACTGAGCTTCTTTATCTTTCATTAGTTTTAGAAAATTCATAGCCATTATCTTTTCAAATATTGCTGCTTCATTCTCTCTCTCTTCTTCATTAACCTACGTATAGTAGAATTTTTGACTATGTTCTGTGTGTCTCCAACACTGTGTTCTGTCCTTTTTGCCCTTGTTTTCTGTGCTTCAGTTTGGATTTGACCTGAAATTTTTTTTTTTTTTTTTTTTTTGAGACGGAGTTTTGCTCTTGTTGCCCAGGCTGGAGTGCAATGACGTGATCTTGGCTCACTGCAACTCTGCCTCCTGTGTTTAATCCATTCTGCTACTGCAGCCTCCCAAGTAGCTGGGATTACAGGCATGTGCCACCACACTCGGCTAGTTTTTTTTGTATTTTTAGTAGAGACAGGGTTTCACCATGTTGGTCAGGCTGTTCTCAAACTCCTGACCTCAGGTGATCCACCCGCCTCTGACTCCCAAAGTGCTGGGATTACATGCAGGAGCCACTGCGCCTGGCCTGTTGACCTGAATTTAAGTTAACTAATTCTGTTTTATACTGTCTATCCAATGAGTTACAGATTCTAGGTACTGTATTTCAGGTTTAAATTTTTAAAATAGTTTCCAGTATTCTGTTAAAATTCATTCCAAAAAGTCATTTCATAAATTCATTTTGTGCAATTTTTTCTTCTATTTTCTTTTAATATACTAATCATAGTCATTTTAAAGTCCACGTTTGCCAGCTCCAATATCTGAATCATCTGTGGATTTGTTTCTGTACTTTTTTCTCCTCTTATCAGTCATTCTCCCTCTTTCCATACTTCTTAATTTTTTAAATTGTATACAGACTTTGCATACAAAATAATCCTGGAGACTAAGATGATATCTTTCTCCCTCTTTCCTTTGCTAGGTAGATAGGATGTGGGGCTGTTCACCTCAAATCAGTCAAGGATTGATTTAGGTTGGGGCTGGGTTACAGTTTTCAAAAGACTTAGTATATCACCTCAGTTTCAAAAGACTACAGAAGATTGAATTCTGTCCTCTAGCTCTGACACCATACAGCTATAAAATCTTTTTTTTTTTTTTAAATGGAGTCTTGCTGTTGTAGCCTGGGCTGGAGTGCAATGGCGTGATCTCGGCTCGCTGCAACCTCTGCCTCCCAGGTTCTAGCAATTCTCCTGCCTTAGCCTCCCGAATAGCTGAGGTTGTTATAGGTGCCTGCCACCACGCCTGGCAGATTTTTGTATTTTTAGTAGAGACAGGTTTCACCAGGTTGACCAGGCTGGTCTCGAGCTCTTGACCTCAGGTGATCCAACCACCTTGGCCTCCCAAAGTGCTGGGATTACATGCATGAGCTACCACACCCGCCGAGTCTAATCTTAAAATGAGAAAGTTGTTTAATTTATCAGAGAACTACAAAGATAATAATAACTCCTGTTTAGGCCGGGTGCCGTGGCTCACGCCTGTAATCCCAGTACTTTGGGAGGCCAAGGAGGGCGGATCACCTGAGGTTGGGAGTTCGAGACCAGCCTGACCAACATGGAGAAACCTTGTTTCTACCAAAAATACAAAAATTAGCCGGGCGTGGTGGCACATGCCTGTAATCCCAGCTACTCGGGAGGCTGAGACAGGAGAATCTCTTGAACCTGGGAGGCGGAGGTTGCGGTGAGCCGAGATCTCGCCATTGCACTCCAGCCTGGGCAACAAGAGCAAAACTTCGTCTCAAAAAAATAAATAAATAAACTCCTGTTTATTGAGTGATTAATATGTGCACTGCTCTGTGCTGAGTAGGGAAATATCCTTATCTTTTTGTGTGTGTAGGTGTGTATATACACAAACATATATATGTATACCGAATATTTAAAGAAATATCTGTTATATATAGGTATATATAAAGAGATATGTAAGTAATATCAAACAACCATTAGTTACTTAGCTGTGTGACCCTGTGTAAGTTTCTTAAATTCTTTGTATTCATTTTCCTTATTTGTAATACAGGTTTGTTGATAATAACTGCCTCATAGGGTTGTTTTAAGAATCAAGAGTATGGATGGACGCCTGTAATCCCAGCACTTTGGGAGGCTGAGGCAGGCAGGGTGCTTGAGCTCAGGAGTTCAAGACCAGCCTGGACAACATGGTGAAACCTCATCTCTACTTAAAAAAAAAAAAAAAAAGTCAGGCGGTGTGGTGGCATGTGCTGCTAGTTCCAGCTGCCTAGGAGGCTGACATGGGAGGGTGACTTGAGCCCAAGAGGTGGAGGTTGCAGTGAGCCAAGCCAAGATCTTACTACTGCGCTCCAGCCTGGGCAACAGAACCAGACCCCCTCTTTGTATTTCTTACACCAACCCAATGAGACAAGTACCACTGACCCAATTCTATATGTATAGGAAACTAAGGTTCACAGGGAGTTGTCCAAGGTTTCAGTGATTAGTTTACATTCCTGGTTCTGCAGCCTATACAAGTTTGTCTGCCTATATCTATATTTTTTCCTGCCTCCAAAGCAGGTGACACTTGGATATTTACACAGAAATTTGTCAGGCAGTTGTTTGGTAAGAGGACCAGAGAAACGCACTGGGCTGGAGTCTGTGACAGAGTACAGCCTTGAGAGAAGTACGTGGGGCATGGCAAGCAGAAACTAAATATGCTATCAGAACAAGAATTTTGGAATTAGAGCACACAGTGGTATTCAGCTTGGCGTCCAGTAATTAGACCATTAAGGATTGGATTGAGGCTGAGGATCTAGAGCTCTAAAAATCAAGTCAGAATTTCTCTTAGGAGTTAGGGATGCCCAGATTCTGTGGATGTGTTTAAAGTGGCAGCAACTGCAAAGAGGATCGCTGCAGAGACTGGGCGTGAGGCTGCCATTAGTTGCTTCATTTCTCAGTCACCTGTAACCATTCTTCATTCCATGATACTAGATCTACTATTCCCTGATAAATCAGCTGAACAGACGAGCCTACCAAACTCATGGTTTGATGCCCTCTGCAATACCAAGTTTCATCTGTGTCCTTATGGCTGATAACTGACTTGCATATCTAGCTTCCCGACTTCTGGCTTAATCTTAACCTCTTAAATTTGCCTGCCCCTACAAATCCTGCCAATCGGGATTCCTTTTTGCCTTCATATTACTGATTTCAAACTTGTTTTGTTCCTTTTTTACATTTAATTGTTTATTTATAAAAATAGTTCACATATATAGTTTTAAGAGTAACATGTGGTGTAAGACTTACAATAAGGAACAATCAGTTCCCTACTCTTCCCCATTATTCACTAGCAACCCCTTTCAGCTCTTATAAAAATGGAGAGAAAGTGAGTCTTTTGTTTACTTCCTATGGTTACCTCCAGCATAAAGCCACACTTCAGGTGAGCCCTGCCCCCAGATGCAGTCACTTAGGCCAATATTTACTTAAACCAAATTTTTTGGTTATTGTTCTAGAGTTCAGTTCATAATCATACTTCTCATTAATACTTCTTAAACATTTTGGCCTTCCAGGCCTTTTCTTGCTTGTTGGTATGCATATGTGTATTAATTTCTTTTTACTTCCATTCCCACTTCTATTCCCCTCTGAATCCTTAGGCAAACATTGTAGTATGTTTGTTCGTATCCTTTGGTAGGCACTCTTTTTAAAAACAATTAAAATAAAAATTTTTAAACAACCACAAACTTACAAATTCAAAGAACTATTTTCCTGAACCATTTGAGGGTGAGTTGCCAACCTCTGATAGTTTCACCATTCCTCTGAATATTTTAAAGTGTATTTCCTACAGACAAGTGCATTCCACATCATTATAATTATTATCAACAATTATGAAGTTAATAATTCTCAGCCCCCATTTAGTTTTGTCAGTTATAATAATGTTCTTCATAGCAGAAGGATCTGGTTCAGAGCCAAGTATTTGCTTTTAGTTATCCTGTTTGTGTAGTCTCTTTCAGCCTGTAATTGTTCCTTAGTCATGTCCTAGACTTTCATGACCTTTATAGTTTCGGCAGTACAGGTCACTTACTTTGTGGAATCTCCTTCAATTTGGGTAAATTTTCCCTATGTTCTTTATATTCTTTTTAGGTGGTACATGATTTTGATTTGTCTCATTTCTGGTGATGTCCACTTGGGTCACTTAGAAGATGTTTGCCAAGCTTCTCCACTATCAAGTTACTTTTTCCTTGTAATTCATGAGTATTTTGTGAGGAGGTGCTTTGAAACTACATAAACATCCTATTGCTATTGAACTTCTAATTTATTCATTTATTTATATCTCAATGGACTCATCTCCTATTTCATTAAATGGGTAGTAATGGTATACATTCACATAAAGTGTGTTTTACATGCATGCATATTACATTGGCATAAATAGTATTATTTTAATATATAACTATATAAAAGTATTAAAATATTATCTACATCGAGAAAGTCATATCTAGAAGGGTCAGGATAATTATCTGATTGGTAGTAAGACTCCACCGTAATGAGATAGGTGGGGTTCAACATATTTAATTAGGCCGGGTGCAGTGGCTCAGGCCTGTAATCCCAGCACTTTGGGAGGGTGAGGGTGAGGACTGCTGAGACCAGGAGTTCGACATCAGCCTAGGCAACATAGTGAGACCCTGTCTCTACAAAAAATAAAAAACATTAACCAGGTGGGGTGGCATGTGCCTATAGTCCCAGCCACTTGGGAGGTTGAGGCAGGAGGATCGCTTGAGTCCGCGAGGTTGAGGGTGCAGTGAGCTATGATTGCACCACTGCATTCCAGCCTGTGTGATAGAGCAGACCCCATCTCAGAAACAAAATTTGATCACACTAGTGTTATTTCTAGCTGGCCCGGAGTTACAGGAATCCAGCTGCATGATCCAAATCTGACCTGGTCCTAGCTGTGGTTTGCTGCCACCTGGTGACAGTTGTCCACTTGAGTATAAATATAAATGGGGACAAATCTGGCTAAGACTTCCACACATTGGCAGCAATTTCAGGTATGGTTAGTTGATGCCAAGTTCTTTGGCACAATCCTGGGAGATTGGGCGAGGAGAATGCTGTGAATGAGAAAGACCCATTCTTTGCTTCCTTGCTTTCTAAGACAGGTGGCCTATTTTCTTCTTCTAGGCCTTGCTTTGCCTCTGTGAGGGCCATACTGAATGGTAGGTAACTGCGTTTACTGTTCTATTGATGATTTTAATTTTATCTTAAGTTTTCTTCATATTAACAAGTATGGGGCCGGGTGCAGTGGCTCAGGCACTTTGGGAGGCCGAGGCAGGTGGATCACTTGAGGTCAGGAGTTCAAGACCAGTCTGGCCAATATGGTGTAACCCTGTCTCTACTAAAAGTACAAGAATTAGCTGAATACAGTGGCGCACACCTGTAATCCCAGCTACTTGGGTGACTGAGGCATGAGAATTGCTTGAACCCAGGAGGCGGAGGTTGCAGTGAGCTGAGATTGCACTGCTGCACTCCAGCCTAGGCAACAGAGCAAGACTCTGTCTCAAATAAATAAATGAAAATTGTAATTAATTTTTAACAAAGGAAAAAAAAGCAGTTAAGATGGAAGGCCCAACTGTTTTAGCAGTAAGAGAAACCATGTGGATGATTTGTGTAGGAACTATTTTCCAGCACTTCAGAAATTTGTTTCAAGTATTTATTTAAGGCCTACTATCTGTACTTGGTTCTGAGTATGTAAAAATATTCTCTCTCCCTCTGTCTCAAAAAAAAAAAAAAAGATTCTCTCTTCTAAAGCAAGACTTACCTGGCTTTACCTTTTCTCTCTCTTTTTTTTTTTTTTTTTTGAGATGGAGTTTTGCTCTTGTTGCCTAGGCTGGAGTGCAGTGGTGCGACCTTGGCTAACTGCAACCTCTGCCTCCCGGGTTCAAGCAGTTCTGCCTCAGCCTCCTGAATAGCTGGGATTATGGCATGCACCACCATGCCCGGCTAATTTTGTAGTTTTAGTAGAGACGGGGTTTCTCCTTGTTGGTCAGGCTGGTCTCGAACTCCCAGCCTCAGGTGATCCGCCCGCCTTGGCCTCCCAAAGTGCTGAGATTACAGGTGTGAGCCACCGTGCCCAGCCTATCTTTTCTATTTTAATTCTATTACATATTCTTACCATTTTCAAATTTCTGCTGATTTATTTATCCATCCACAAACATCTTAATTCTTTCTAGATGTCAGACGCAGATGATTAATCACAGTCCTCAGTTTTATGGCCCATGTTGTCATTGGTCTGTGCAAGCAACCTTATTTTTGTTACTTCCTTCCAATTTTTTTTTTTTTTTTTTTTTTGAGACAGGGTCTCTCTCTGTCACCCAGCTGGGAATATTGGCACGTGCCACCACACCTAGATAATTAAAAAAAAATATTTTGTGGAGTCCAGATCTTGCTGTGTTTCTCAGGCTGGTCTCAAGCTCTTGGGCTCAAGCCATCCTAGCACCTCGGCCTCCCAAAGTGCTGGGATTACAGGCATGAGCCACTGCACCCGTCCCCTAATGGTGTAACTTTTTTATGAATTGTTTTAACTGTGTCCCACAAAATGTAGTGTTTTGACAAAGTTTCTTAGTTTCCTTTATTTTTCTTTTTAACACGAGTCACTTAGTATGTTTTAGTTTCTAAATATATTGGTTTTTTAACAAAACTCTACTTTTGATATTAATATCTAATTTCATTATATCATAGTTAATGTGATCTCTGTGATACTGGTTATTTGGATTTTATTGAGGCTTGCTTTATGGCTGTAAACGTGTACTTGAAAAGACTTCCTTCTTTATCTTTGCTGTGTACAGAGTTCTATATATTGTCTAATTGTTGAGAATTTTTTTTTTTTTCGAGACGGCGTTTCACTCTTGTCGTCCAGGCTGGAGTGCAATGGTACAATCTCAGCTCACTGCAACTTCCGCCTCCTGGATTCAAGCGATTCTCCTGCCTCAGCCTCCCAAGTAGCTGTGGTTACAGGTGCCCGCCACCATGCCCGGCTAGTTTTTGTATTTTTTTTGTAGAGACGGGGTTTTACCATGTTGGCCAGTTTGGTCTTGAACTCCTGACTTTACGTGATCCGCCTGCTTCGGCCTCCCAAGGTGCTGGGATTACAGGTGTGAGCCACTGTGCCCAGCCCAGAATTGTTAATTATATTGTTTAGATCTTCAGTACTTTTATTTTTTTCTACATGATTAGTTTCTGAGAAGGGAGTATTAAAATCTGCAAGTGCAATTTTTTTTTTTTTTTTTCCAAGACAGGGTCTCACTCTGTCACCCAGACTGGAGTGCAGTGGCATGATCACAGCCCACTGCAGCTTTGACCTCCCAGGCTCAGGTGATCCTCCCGCCTTAGCCTCCTGGGTAGCTGGGACTACAGGCAGGCACCCACCTCCACATTTTTTTATTTTTTGTAGAAGCAGTTTCACTATGTTGTCCAGGTTGGTCTTGAACTCCTGGGCTCAAGTGATCCACCCACCGTAGCCTCCCAAAGTGCTAAGATTATCACCATCAATGATGGGCATGATAGTTAATTCATATTAACATTCCTGGCCATGATAGTTAATTCATATATTTTTCTCTGCATTCTCTCATTTGTTACTTGACATATTTTGTTACTGTAATTTCTAGGTCACAAACATGCAGGCTTGTTTGTTATGGTTGTATCTTCTTGTTTTATTATTCCTTTTAGCAGTACATACTGCCCCTCATGGCATTTTTTTGTCTTGAATTTCATTTTATCAGATTGTTTCTTCAGCTTTCCTTCAGTTTATTTTTTTCCTGTGATATTTTTCTCTCATTTTTTGTGTTTTGTAGATAACATTGTTGGATTTTGGAACAGATGGACCAAGAACTTAAAATAAGCATGATAATATGTTTAAGAAACTTAGGAATTCAGAATGGTATATTTTATCTGGTTTTTGTCCATCTTTGATACAGTTGTATGTACTCTTTGAGTGATTAATTATTTTGGTTCATGAGTTTGTTTTTCCTGGGGTTTTCAGCTACTCTGTTTGGTTATGTATATTGGGGAAATAATGGAAATCCAAGTTCGATTCAAGTTCTTGTCTGCTTCTGAGAGGAGGGTGATCCCCAGGCAACACAAAATCAGCATTGATCATTCCTGATTGCTGTCATTTTACCATGTAACAACACTGGACACAGTTGTACTTTGAAACTCCTAGACAGTAGTGGAAGGAGACCTTCTTTTAAAATTATAATCTACCAGCCAGGAAACTTGTAAGAGGAAAGGCTGGAACAGTGGATGCTGAGGATGGCCAGTCAGCCTGCATCTGTTTTCATTGAAACCTTACAGCTAGGCAAGGTGCCTCATGCCTGTAATCCCAGCACTTTGGGAGGCCAAGGTGGGCGGATCACTTGAGCCCAGGAGTTCGAAATCAGCCTGGGCAACATGGCAAAACAAAAAATAGCTGGGCATGGTGGCATGTGCCTGCAGCCCTAGCTGCTTGGGAGGCTGAGGTGGGAGGATTGCTTGAGCCTGGGAGGTTGAAGCTGCTGTGAGCCGAGATTGTGCCACTGTACTCCAGCCTGGGTGATAGAACCTGCCTCAAAAAACCAAACAAAACCTTATACTAGCAGGGCTCTTACCCTGTCCTGGTTTTACCGTGTACACACTTGGCAAGCAAGGGACAGGGAATGATTTTCCCAAAGCATAAATGGGTGAGAACCAAGGACAAAATGTAAATGCTTTTTTTCACCCTTCCCCACGTAGCCCTCCTACTCCCGGTCAGTCCTCAGCAAAGCATTATTTTCTGAAGTTTTTTATTTACTTGTATCAATGTAATACTGTATGTATATGTAATTTTAAAAATTAAAAAACTATTAATACTAGGCTTATGATGTGAAACAGTAGTTTCTTGCTTTACCTATTCCCTCCCACATTTCCTCTCTCTAGTCTTGTTTGTTTTCTGGTACATTACTTACCACTAGATTTCTAAATAGTGTGCTCATATTGCTAGTTAATGATTTTTAAATTTTTAGCATTTTCTATTGATTTACTATTGTGGAACATGAGTTTAGCTCTTTCATACCACTCAGCCTTACCTTTACCACCATTTTCCCTTCCTTTATCTTTCCCATTATAGTGATAGCAATATCAAGTGTTTATGTTATTTTAACTATATATAAATACTATGTTGACTCTTCTCAGTTGTGTATGATTACATTACCTTTCTTGGAAAATCTTTTGTTTTTCCTGAAGTTTTCTTTTTTTTTTTCTTTCCATTTTATGTTGTTTCCTTTGTCATTCTCATCTGTAATTCCAGATTTTCTATTAGAACTGTAAAACCCCTTTACTTCTGTCCTTCCGTCCTTCCATCCATCCATCCGTCTGTCCGTCCTTCCATCCATCCATCCGTCTGTCCGTCCTTCCTTCCTTCCTTTCACTTTTTTTTTTTTTTTTTTTTTTTTTTGAGACAGAGTCTCATTCTGTCACCCAGGCTGGAGTGCAGTGGCTCAATCTCGGCTCACTGCAACCTCCACCTCCTGGGTTCAAGTGATTCTCCTGCCTTAGCCTCCCGAGTAGCTGGGATTACAGGCGCGTGCCACCAGGCCAGGCTAATTTTTGTATTGTTAGTAGAGACTGGATTTTGCTGTGTTGGCAGGCTGGTCTCTAACTCTTGACCTCAGGTGATCCGCCCGTCTGAGCCTCCCAAAGTGCTGGGATTGCAGGCATGAGCCACCCTGCCTGGCCCCTTATGAGTTTATATGCTTTTTTTTTTATTCCCCTTACTGTCACTTTAGTAGGGTTTCAGAAGACAGTAGAGATGAGTACTTATGTTCATTCTAATGTTAAACTGAAATTAGTGTTGACTTTTATTTATTTATTTATTTTGAGATGGAGTCTCACTCTGTTGCCCAGGCTGGAGTGCGGTGGCACTATCTCAGCTCACTACAACCTCCACCTCCCAGGTTCAGGCTGTTCTCCTGCCTCAACTTCCCAAGTAGCTGGAATTACAGGTGTGCGCCACCACACCTGGCTAGTTTTATATTTTTAGTTGATGGGGTTTCACCATGTTGGCCAGGCTGGTCTGGAACTTCTGACCTCAGGTGATCCACCCACCTTGGCCTTCCAAAGTGCTGGGATTACAGGCGTGAGCCACCGTGACCAAGTGTTGACTTTTAAATTTTAAATTAGAAAGTGTTACTATGATAAACTATACTTGAAAGTCATATTTAGTTATCTGTAGGTTAATAACGTTACTGTAGAATAATGTAGCTGTGTGTGTGAAAGAGTGGCTGATTAGACTGGCATGGTTAACCTTTATGCTTTTAAGTATATAGAAATTGACAGATTGTTGAACGGCATGTGAACTGTTTTGCCTATAGTTCTTTGAGAGTTTATTGTTCATTTGTCCTTTTTTCCCCCTATTTCTTTTTTCAGCTAAGCTTCTTAAGATGGAAGTTGTTCCTTAATAATGGCTAAAGCCCTATGGGAATATGTTCTTTCATTTATTACAATAAGTTAGAAAGTCCTTATTACTGTAAGGCCAAGATGCTAACTTTATGAGGCACCAGTTTCTCCTAATGGAGAGTTTTTTCCCCCACCTCACAGAATAATCGCATATAATAAAAGCTAATTTACCCACTCCTGAAGGTAAAATACTTACTCACTTTCACATATCTCTATATAGTACATTACTGGATGATGTAAATAACAATTCTCTTTTGTTGTATCCTGAAGTACCCTAGAATCTTCTCAGGAAGAGTAAGTTAGATTCCGAAAGGTAGCTTGCCATTATCAAAAGATAGTACTCCATACTCTACTGTCTCAGGAGAGACAGGAGACACCTTCTGTCCCGTCTTTACATTCTGATCAGAAATTAAAGAAAATAGGAAGGTAGAGAACAATAAGTGTATTTTGTTAAGCACTTGGTTCTTTGAATATTTGTAATCTATAATAGAGTATAGATGTTAATTTTTTTTTTCCTCAGACGGTGTCTCACTTTGTCAGCCATGCTGGAATGCAGTGGCATGATCTTGGCTAGCCACAGCTACGACCTCCCAGGCTCAAGCAGTCTTCCTGTCTCAACCCACTAAGTAGCTGGGATGCACCACCACACCTGGCTTTTTGTATTTTGCTAGAGATAGGGTTTTGCCATGTTGCCCAGGCTGGTCTTGAACTCCTGATAGAGCTCAAGCACTCCACCCACCCCAGCCTCCCAGGGTTCTGGGATTACAGGCATGAGTCACCGTTGCCAGGCCAATATTAAATATTTTAATTAGAGTCAGTGCTAAATCATTGCATTCTACTCTAGGACTATGCCAGGTAATAGTGTATTCTCTTTACATTTCAGTTTATGGAGGAGTTTGTTTTGTTTTGTTTTGTTTTGTTTTGTTTGAGATGGAGCCTCACTCTGTTGCCCAGGGTGGAGTGCAGTGGCGCAATCTCAGCTCACTGCAACTTCTGCTCCCCTGGGTTCAAGCAGTTCTCCTGCCTCAGCCTCCCAAGTAGCTGGGATTACAGGTGCCTGCCACCACACCCGGCTAATTTTTGTATTTTTAGTAGAGACAGGGTTTCACCATGTTGGCCAGGCTGGTCTTGAACTCCTGACCTCATGATCCACCCACCTTGGCCACCCAAAGTGCTGGGATTACAGACATGAGCCACCATGTCCGGCCGGAAGAGTTCATTTTAATATTAAAAAATATATGCTATGAATTGTGGTTTCTGAGCAGTAATGCATATACTTTGAAATCATTAAACCTTTATAAAATTTTTGTTTTCAAAATGTAATTGTTACTATACTCTGTGTATTTTATCTTTGATAGATTAAAAATACTCTGATATCTGCTCAAAGCTGACATATTCAGAAATTTATGAAAACTAAGCTAAGCTGGGAAGCATAGTTTATATTGAAATTTGCTTAGGCTCATTGCCCAAGTTTAGTTTGGAATCCCTAACCTGCCTGATAGTTTTAGATCCTTGAGAATATCCCTGTTTTAACATAGTAGGTCATATTTTCAAAATGCCTACAAGAATGGTTTATGTAGAGTATTAAAATCTTAAGACTGGGATGGACTCTGAGATACTATTTTTCATTACATCTTTATTTTGGAAAACTTACTAGAACTAGTATTTCCCCCCTAAATAGCTGAAAATTTTTACAGAAGCATTGTTGTGACGTTAGGAGCCTTGAGACTTTAAATTTCTTTGTTTTGTTTTTCAGAATAATTTTGGATTCAAGAAAATATGATTTGGTTATTTAAATGTAGGTTTAATGTTTAACATACAGTCCTTGTGGTTATCTAAGCCTTTTGTGTGTGTGTGTGTGTGTGTGTGTGTGTGTGTGTGTGTGAGAGAGAGAGAGAGAGAGAGAGACAGGATCTCTCTCTATGACCAGGCTGGAGTGCAGTGGCAGTGGTGCAATCAGGGCTCACTACAGCTTCAACCTCCTGGGCTCAAGCAATCTTTCTACCTCACCTTCCCAAGTAGCTGAGACCACAGGCATGAACCACCATGTCCAGCTAATTTTTAAAATTTTTATAAAGACAAGGTCTCCCTGTGTTGCCCGGATTGGTCTTGAACTCCTGGCCTCAAGCAGTTCTCCTGCCTTGGCCTCCCAATGTGCTGAGATTACAGGTGTGAGCCACCTTGCCTGCCCTTTTTTTTTTTTTAAAAAAATAGCATTTTAGGAGGGCACGTTTCTCAAGTAATTATGTAAAAGGAAGTTCTTTTGATTGGGAAGAAAACCTTCCTGACAGGCAAAATATTGATACACAAGCCTCTTTTCCTCCTGACATTTTAGCCTTTTGTGTAAGTTTATGTTTTTATTACCATCCCCTTTCCTCTGATTCCTAGTTGCTTTCCCCTGACATTTTCTGTCATTAATTAGGTTATAAGTGGCAGATACATTTTTGGAAGAGACTCCAGCATCCTGTGGTAGTGACCTGTTACTACGCCCTACCACTCTTTGGCTGTGTAAAAACATTGCTGTCAATACCTTTTCCTTTGTTCATTCTTTGAATTCTTGTGTGCTTGAAATCAGAATTTTCACAGATTCATGGTTGTATGACATCAGATTTTCATTTTTTGTTTGACTTTATTTGTTTTATTTGTTTGAATTTTCTTCTTTCTAGGGGTGGTGTGGTAAAATAGAATATGAGTTAACTCAAGGCCTGGCATGTTGGTTCACACCTGTAATCCCACCAATTTTGGGAGGCTGAGGCAGGAAGATCACTTGAGTATAGGAGTTTGAAGCCAGCCTGGGCAACATAGTGAGATCCCATCTCTACAAAAAAATTAAATAAATATTGTGGGTGTGGTGGCCTGTAGCCCTAGCTACTTGGAAGGCTGAGGTGGGATGATCTCTTGAGCCCAGGAGTTTAAGGCTGCAGTGAACTATGATCATGCCACTGTACTCCAGACTAGGTGACAGACTGAGACACCCCACCCTCCCCACCCCCTCCCCACAATCGTTAACCCTGTGTTAAGTTTTTTTTTGTTTGTTTGTTTGTTTTTTGTTTTTTTTTTTGAGACGGAGTCTCGCTCTGTCCCCCAGGCTGGAGTGCAGTGGCGCGATCTCGGCTCACTGCAAGCTCCGCCTCCTGGGTTCACGCCATTCTCCTGCCTCAGCCTCCAGAGTACCTGGGACTACAGGCGCCCGCCACCACGCCCGGCCAATTTTTTCTATTTTTTTAGTAGATAGGGGGTTTCACTGTGTTAGCCAGGATGGTCTCGATCTCCTGACCTCATGATCCGCCCGCCTCGGCCTCCCAAAGTGCTGGGATTACAGGCGTGAGCCACTGCGCCTGGCCAACCTTGTGTTAAGTTTTAAAAAGCAGGCCGGGGTTGGTGGCTCATGCCTCTAATCACAGCACTTTGGGAGGCCGAGGCGGGCAGATTGCCCGAGGTCAGGAGTTTGAGACTAGCCTGGCCGACATCTCTACAAACCCCATCTCTACAAAAAATAGAAAATACAAAAATACAAAAGTTAGCCACGCATAGCCTATAATCCCAGCTACTTATGAGGCTGAGGCACACGAATCTCTTGAACCTGGGAGGTGGAGGTTGCAGTAGGTGGAGGTTGCAGTGAGCTGAGATCATGCCACTGCACTCTAGCCTAGGCGACAGAGTGAGACCCTGTCTCAAAAAAAAAAGTTTGAACAAGCTAGTCTTCATTAATTAGATAATGGGAAACAACAGTATCTGACAGTCTTCTGCAATTTTAATTTTAAAGGGTTTATTTTGTGTACTTTTTCAAAAGCAGTAACATATTTAAGGTAAACTTGAATGTTTTTTGATGGAGTAAAATATGGATTGATGAAAGTGTTTTAAATCTTTTCAGTCTGTTGTTTCTTTTCCAAATGACTGTCCCCAGAGATACCATTTGTTGATCCACTTTCTTTTTTTTTTTTTTTTTTTTTTTTAAGACGGAGTCTCACACTGTCGCCCGGGCTGGAGTGCAGTGGCACGATCTTGGCTCAGTGCAACCTCTGCCTTCCAGGTTCAAGTGATTCTCCTGCCTCAGCCTCCCATGTAGCTGGGATTATAGGCGCCTGCCACCATGCCTGACTAGTTTTTTTTATTTTTAGTAGAGACAGGGTTTCACTATGTTGGCCAGGCTGATCTCGAACGCCTGACCTCATGATTCACCTGCCTCGGCCTCCCAAAGTGCTGGAATTACAGGCATGAGCCACCGTGCCCGGCCTGTTGATCCACTTTCATAGTTGGTAATAAAACTTTATTGCTTATCATTTGGTATGATAAACAACCAAAAGTTAGTGATTTCGATGTCTTCCTTATTCTCTTTTGCCTTTGCCATCATTATAACCTAGACTTTTGCTCCTTCATATCTGGTAGTTTAACCCCATTCGGTTGTCATACACACCTCATATCCAGAACTTCTTTCGTTATGTTAGCCGCCTGCCCAAGAATTTGGGAGTGTCTTTTCCTGCTGGCTAAATTAGACAGAACTGCCAAAGATAGTATATAGGCAAACTGCTCATTTCTTTTCTTGTCAATAAGCTTGATGTTTGACATATATTTCTCTCTTTGGCTGAATTACATGCCGTGTGCTCTCATTTTTTCCCACTAGTATGCACAAAAAAATGCTATCCTATATTTTTTAAAAGTTGCTGACACACTTTGCTTATAGGAGTGGTTTTCTAGCTAAGCTTCTCAGAATCCTCAAAAAATCTATGAATAGTCTGGTAAGTAGTAGAGTATGTTTCTTCTTTTTGGCTTGTGTCCTTTGCCTGTTTTACTGTAGAAGGGTTTGTCTTTATGTCTTGATTTAGAAACACTCATATAACGCTTTGAAAAAAATTTTAAACATTTCCCCCATTTTGTGGTTTTGCCTTTAACATATAAACAGTATGTTTTGTTATATAGAATTGTTTAACTTTTATTTTATAAAATTCATCTATTACTTTCTTTAAGGTTTTTAATCTTTGGTGTCATGCCTAAAGAAAGTATACCAGCATGGTGGCTCACATCTGCTTTGGGAGGCCTAGGTGGGCAGATCATGAGGTCAGGAGATTGAGACCATCCTGGCTAACATGGTGAAACCACATCTCTACTAAAAATACAAAAAATTAGCCAGGCATGGTGGCACGCACCTGTAATCCCAGCTACTCAGGAGGCTGAGGCAGGAGAATCCCTTGAACCCGGGAGGCAGAGGTTGCAGTGAGCCAAAATCGTGCCACTGCACTCCTGCAGCCTGTGCAACAGAGCGAGACTCCCTCAAAAAAAAAAAAAAAAGAAGAAGAAAAGAAAGAAAGTACATGGGTACATGGTAAGCCGGGCGTGGTGGCTCACACCTGTAATCCCAGCACTTTTGGAGCCCAGGGCAGATTCATCACCTGAGGTCCCAGCCTGGTCAACATGGTGAAACCCCATCTCTACTAAAAATACAAAAATAAGCAGGGCGTGGTGGTGCGTGCCTGTAATCCCAGCTATTTGGGAGGCTCAGGCAGGAGAATCGCCTGAACCCGGGAGGCAGAGGTTGCAGTGAGCCGAGATCAAGATTGCGTTGCCAGTGTACTTCAGCCTGGGGGACAGAGAGAAACTCCATCTCCAAAAAACAAAAAAAAAAAAAGTGCATGGTAGATTTAGTGTTTTTCGTGAAAAATTTAGAAAGAATATAATTGATGTTTATTTTGTATGTTTTGGAATTATTATCATTTTAAACTTATATTAAGGACATTCTAATATGGGGCAAAACTGATGGCTAATTTTATTGGGTTTTGTTTGTTTTTTGAGATAGAATCTCGTTGTGTCATTCACTCTGCTGGAGTGCAGTGGCATGATCTCGGTTCACTGCATCCTCCGCCTCTCGGATTCAATGGATTCTCCTGCCTCAGCCTCCTGAGTAGCTGGAACTACTGGCATGTACCACCACGCCTGGCCAATTTTTGTATTTTTAGTAGAGATGGGATTTCATCATGGCTCACTGCAACCTCTGCCTCCTAGGTTCAAGCTATTCTCATGCCTCAGCCTGCTGAGTAGCTGGGATTACGGGCATGTACCACCATGGCCCCGTTTAATTTTTGTGTTTTTAGTAAAGATGGGGTTTCACCATGTTGGCCAGGCTGGCTTTGAACTCCTGGTCTCAAGCAAGCAGTCCTTTTGCCTCAGCCTCCTAAAGTGCTGGGATTACAGGTAGGAGCCACCATGTCTGGCCTGATTACTAATTTTATCTGCTGATGTTCATATATGTAAGTATATGAGGTGTTAAAGATACTTCATCAATAAGGGCAGAAAAAAACGGAAAGGAAAAACTTCTTAGCACTAGAATGTCTTTCCTTGTGGTGGAAAGCAGACAGGCCATGTAGCTTTGAGCTCCTGTGTTCAGAAGATCAGTTACCCAGGATGTCTTATCCTGGCTGTCAAGGATCCCATTTCTTAGATTAGCCATAACAAACCATTCATGAGTTATATATATGTAACACATGGTAATAATAATAGAAACTCTGAGAGCCCAAAATGCTAAATAATTCTATTGTTATTAACAATTGAATCAACTATTTAAAAAGTTGTTATGAAAGTAATAACATACTTTGAACCTTTTCAACTCTTCTGGAATTACTCCCACATTTCTAAATATTCTTAATTTACTTTTTAAGAGATGGTGTCTTGCTTTGTCGCCCAGGGTGGAGTGTGGTGTTGCAGTCATAGTCCACTGCTGCCACGAATTCCTGGGCTCAAACTATTCTCCCGCTGAAGCCTCCTGAGTAGCTGGGACTGCAGGCCTGCCACCAATCTCAGCTAACTTTTAATTTTTTTTTTTTTTTTTTTTGAGACAGAGTTTCACTCTTGTTGCCCAGGCTGGAGTACAATGGCGTGATCTTGGCTCACTGCAACCTCCGCCTCCTGGGTTCAAGCAATTCTCCCGCCTCAGCCTCCCAAGTAACTGGGATTACAGGCGTGTGCCACCACACCCGACTAATTTTTGTATTTTTAGTAGAGATAGGGTTTCGCTGTGTTGGCTGGCTGGTCTTGAACTCCTGACCTCAGGTGATCTGCCCACCTTGGCCTCCCAAAGTGCTGGGATTACAGGCGTGAGCCACCACGCCCAGCCAACTTTTAAAATGTTTTTGTAGAGATGGGGTCTTGACATGTTGCCCAGGCTGGTCTTGAACTCCTGGGTTCAAGTGATCCTCCCACCTTGACCTCCCAAAGTGCTGGGATTGCAGTGTGAGCCACTGTGCCCAACTTACTTCCTTTCTGTCTGTCTCTCTGTCTCTCTCTCTATCTATCTATCTATCTATTTTTTTAAGACAGAGTCTTGCTCTGTTGCCCAGGCTGGAGTGCAGTGGTGCGATCTCGGCTCACTCACCGCAACCTCCACCTCCTGGGTTCAGCGATTCTCCTGCCTCAGCCTCCCGAGTAGCTGGGAGTGCACCACCATGCCCGGCTAATTTTTGTATTTTTTAGTAGAGACGGGGTTTCACCATATTGGCCAGGCTTGTCTTGATCTCCTGACCTCGTGATCTGCCTGCCTTGGCCTCCCAAAGTGCTGGGATTACAGGCGTGAGCCACCACGCCTGGCCTTCTAAATATTTTAAATGCCGTTTTTCATTTTTAAAATTTCTAGTTTGTTGTTAACTATCATACTTCTACTGTGGAAGATGAGGATTTCTCTCATTACTGTAACACCCCATCCCATAAACGTATTCATTAGCTCTCCATATTTCCAGTAGTTATAGTTTTAATTTAGACTAATTTTCAGTGTTTACATTAATATAACTATGTAAATAATAGTTCCGGTTGAACCATGTCATACACCATTATTACCTTTTCTTTCACATGTAGTGTAGTGTTTTGTTTTTTGTTTTTGCTGGAATTCCTCTTCATCCCTCCACATTTAGTTTTTTTGTGTGTTTTTTTTTGTTTTTTTTTTTTTGAGATGGAGTCTCACTCTTGTTGCCCAGGCTAGAGTGCAGTGGAGTGATGTCGGCTCACTGTAACTTCCACGTCCCAGGTTCTAGTGATTGTCCTGCCTCAGCCTCCTGAGTAGCTAGGATTACGGGTGCCCACCACCACACTCGGCTAATTTTTGAATTTTTAGTACAGATGGGGCTTCACCATGTTGGCCAGGCTAGTCTCGAACTCCTGACCTCAGGTGATCCACCCACCTCAGCCTCCCAAAGTGCTGAGATTACAGGCGTGAGTCACTGGTGCCCGGCTCACATTTAGTTTTCTAATGTGCTTATCAGTAATTCATCCCTGAACTCTGACAGAGTATAAAATCTCTTTAAATACACATGGTTATCATACTTAACTGAAATGTAATTAACTTTTTTTTTTTTTTGAGACAGAGTCTTGCTCCCTCACCCAGGCTGGAGTGCAGTGGCATGATCTCAGCTCACTGCAACCTCCACCTCCCAGGTTCAAGCAGTTCTCCTGTCTCAGCCTCCCGAGTAGCTGGGACTACAGGTGCCTGCCACCACGCCTGGCTAATTTTTGTATTTTTAGTAGAGACGGAGTTTCACCTTGTTGGTCAGGCTGATCTCGAACTCCTGACTTCAGGCGATCCACCCGCCTAGGCTTCCCAAAGTACTGGGATTACAGGCGTGAGTCACCGCACCCAGCCAACATTTTTAATTTGATCAAAACATGTGAAGGTAGAAAGTTGTATGTGTCATAAATATAGCAGTTGGTGGATTTTCACACACTGGGGCATCTGTATATCTAGTCTTCAGATCATGAAAAAAGAAAATTGCCAGTACTACAAGAAGCCCTTTCTTGTGTTCTCTTACAGAACCATCTTCCCATCTCCCAGGATAATCCCTATCCTAATTTCTAACAGTATGAATTAATTTTGCTTATTCTTGAATTTCATAATAGAGTCATACTCTTTATTCATAGGAGTTCTTTATATACTGTGCATATTAAATCATTTGTTGGATTGTGTATGTGAATCCACATACATGTATTGTGAATAACTTCTTCCACTCTGTGGCTTGCTTGTTCCCTGTTTTAATGATTTTTTCGATGAAACAGAAGTTCTTGGTTTTAATAAAATCAGAATTATCAATGTTTTCTTTTATGGATATTACTTTTTGTGTCCTATTTTAAAACTTTTGTCCCCTCCAATGTCCTAAATATTCCTGGTTTTTTTGGTGGTAAAGTATATATAACATAAAATTCACCATTTCAGTCTCAATCTGCTGACCTTGTGATCTGCCCGCCTCGGCCTCCAAAAGTGCTGGGATTACAAGCGTGAACCACCGTGCCCGGCCATAATTTTTTTTATTTTTTGAATCTCTTTTGTGTCAGGCTTCTTTGTCATATATGTTGATGTGATTTACCCACATTATGTGTAGTTGTAGATCATTTGTTCTCATGCTAGGTAGTAATCTATAAATGACTCTTCCACTTCATCCATTCTCCTATTGAGGGTCATTTGGGTAGTTTCAGATTTTGTCTGTATGTATATTCCTATTTATGAACATTTCAGTTTTTGTATTTTGGTGAAAATATTTATTAAGGAGTGGACTTTTTGAACCTTAGGCTACATATATGTACAGGTGTAGTAAGATTGCCAGTTTTCTAAGCTGGTTGTACCTGTTCTGCATTCCTATAAGCGCTATATGAGAGTTATGGTAGTTTTGCATCTTTGCTAGTCTTTTTCATTTTAGGTATTTTGCTTTTAATTTGCATTTCCTTGATGACTAATGATGTTGAACACCATATTAACTGAATTTATTTACTGGCATTTAGATATCCTCTTTTGTGAAATGCCTGTTCAAGTCTTTTGCTCACTGCAAGCTCTGCTTCCTGGGTACACGCCATTCTCCTTCCTCAGCCTCCTGAATCCAAAATTAGCTGGGCATGGTGGTATGCGCCTGTACTCCCAGCTACTTGGGAGGCTGAGGCAGGAGAATTGCTTGAACCTGGGAGGTAGAGGCTACAGTGAGCTGAGATCGTGCCACGATACTCCAGCCTGGGTAACAGAGCAAGACAGGGCCTGCCAAGTGCCAGCCACCTCAGTGGAGGGTCAGTCAGGATGGTGGCCCCTGTCCTCTCAGCACCCTGTTCTTGTTCGGTGTCCAGGAAGAATCAGCTCACACGAACTGTTTGAAAGGTGATGAATGCAGAAGACTTTATTGAGCAGTGGGTGGCTCTCAGCGGAAAGGGAGGCTGGAAAGGGGATGGGAAGGTGATCTTTCCCTGAAGCTGGGCTGTCTCTGGCAGGCCCCTCTCCGAAGCCGCACTGTCTGAAGATAGCCGAATTTTTCCTATGCTCAGCTGCTTGTATCCTTGACACTCAGCCGCTTGTGTTGCTCTGCCAGCTGAAGTCTTTTTATGGGCACAGGATAGGGGCGGGGCAGGCCAAAAAGGCAACATTTGGGCTGAAAAATAGGGTCAGCTGTTTTCACTTAGGACAAACTTAAGGGTGGGGCTTAGCCAGGATCCCAGCCTTTCTGTCAGTTTGACCTTAAAACCTGCAGCACATTATATAGCCTTACTAGGGGGGATGTGTGTGTGTACACACACTTTTTTTTCCCACATACTATTATTGAACATTTTAAAGATTTGTAGTTGGCAGACTTTTGACACTTTGAGCAAGTTAATAAGAAAGCATGTTTTAACCACCCTTTTCTTGGGGTTGCGCTGCTGTCCAAGGATTGCATAACAAGGGCAGCACTGCTAATGCCTACACAACACTCCCGCCTCAGCTAGAGCTTTGCTTTACCTTGGTGCAATTTTTGGAAAAATGAAAACCTGCTCTACCCTCCCCCCAAAAAATATGTCTTGATTGCTTTTGCTGATGTTATGTTGGAAACATATCCTATGGCAGATGTGATCTGATGACGTAGCAGAAAAACTCAGCAGTGGGAATATCCTCATTTCACACTAAATCCAGGCACAAATCCAAATACAACAGTAACCACTACATTTGCCATCAGCTGAGCTATTACCAAGTACAATTGTATTTAGGACTAGGAAACTTTTTCACCTACTTAATAGTATGTTAATAAATAGGTAGCAGGAATAATTGGGATATATTTCATTATTCATATGTAATTGTTTTTTGGCCAGGCATGGTGGCTCACGCCTATAATCTCAGCACTTTGGGAGACTGGGGTGGGTGGATTGCTTGAGCTTGGGAGCTCAAGACCAGCCTGGGCAATATGGCAGAATCCTGTCTCTACTAAAAATGAAAAAAACTAGTTGGGTGTGGTGGTGCAGGCCTCTAGTCCTAGCTGCTTGGGAGGCTGAGGTAGGAGGATTGCTTGAGCCCGGGAGGTCGAGGCTGCAGTGAGCCCAGATTGTGCCACTGTACTCCCGCCAGGGCAAGAGACCCTGTCTCAAAACAAACAAAAACATGTAATTTTTTTTGTCATTGCTGAAATTCCATCTGAAAATAATTAGTAGGATAACAAAACTTATTTAATACTGCACATTGGGGGTTACCTAAATTTTGCTCCAAGTCAGTTTATACTTGGTTTTACATAGTTACATATACAATGTTTTATTTATTTATTTATTTATTTATTTATTTATTTATTTTGAGACAGAGTTTCGCTCTTGTTGCCCAGGCTGGAGTGTAATGGTGCAGTCTCAGCTCACTGCAATCTCTGAGGCCTCCCGGGTTCAAGTGATTCTCCTGTTTCAGCCTCCCTAGTAGCTGGAATTACAGGTGCCCACCACCACACCCGGCTAATTTTGTATATTTAGTAGAGACGGGGTTTTCACCATGTTGGCCAGGCTCGTCTGGAACTCCTGACCTCAGGTGATCTGCCCACCTCAGCCTCCCAAAGTGCTGGGATTACAGGTGTGAGCCACCGTGCCTGGCCGGGACATAATGTTTTTTAATGACTTTTTGCTTATGCATTTTAGGGTACATCTTTGCCTAGATATTTTTTATTTTTAAATTATTTTTTGTTTTGTTTTTGTTTTTTTATTTTTTTGAGATGGAGTTTCGCTCTTGTTGCCCAGGCTGGAGTGCAATGGCGCGATCTCGGCTCACCGAAACATCCGCCTCCTGGGTTCAAGCGATTCTCCTGCCTCAGTCTCCTGAGTAGCTGGGATTACAGGAATGTGCTACCACACCCAGCTAATTTTTGTATTTTTAGTAGAGACTAGGTTTCACTATATTGGTCAGTCTGGTCTTGAAGTCCTGACCTCGTGATCCACCCGCCTTGGCCTTCCAAAGTGCTGAGATTACAGGCATGAGCCACTGTGCCCAGCCTTATTTTTATTTTTTTGAGATCGAATCTCGCTTTGTCACCTAGGCTGGAGTGCAGTGGCACACTCTCGGCTCATTGCCACCTCTGCCTCCTGGGTTCAAGCGATTCTCCTGCCTCAGACTCCTCAGTAGCTGGAATTACAGGCTCATGCCACCATTCCCAGCTAATTTTTGTATTTTTAGTAGAGATGGGGTTTCACCAAGTTGGCCAGGCTGGTCTCGAACTCCTGACCTCAGGTGATCTGCCCACCTCGGCCTCCCAAAATGGTGAGATTACAGGCGTGAGTTACCATGCCCGGCTTTTATTTTTATAATGTACTATGTTTGGGGAGAATAGGAAACCAAGGAAAGTTATGATGAGGGTACATTAAATTAAAAAGAGGATCTTGGGAGGAGCCAAGAAGTATGAGAACGAGTGAGTAGAAAAGTTAGAGCATTAGGAGACAGTGAAATTGGAGAACCCCAGGAAATAAAGTGGTTCAAGAAGACAAAATGATAAATGGGAAAATGCTTTTTGGTAGTCATAGATGACTGGAAAATTATCTACTCCTCAATAAATAGGTCATATGCATTTATGTCTATATTTTCTTAACTGTTAATTTCACAACTGAGTGAAGTGATACAGTTAGCTCAATGGCTGACATATAGTAAGCACTTAATGAGTATTATTTATCACTACTTGGATCTGTCATTGTTCACTTATTTCCTCAATATAGAAAACTGAGAGTTGTCCTTGAATTTTTCTTTCTCCTCAATCCCAATATTAAATCAATTACAGAGTCTCATTGACTATACTTCCTGTGTGTCTCAAAAATACGTTTTGTGTTTATTCCAACTGCCTCTGTCTTTGCTCACATGTGTAAGCCTTTCTGCATTATTTTTCCCTTTGCCTGTAAGGTCCCTTTCACCTTGGCCTCAATACTTGGCTCAAGTAGTACCCCTTTGTAAATTTTACCTGAATGTCTCAGCCAGAATTAGGCATTTATTTCACTGTGCTCTTTAAGCAACTAGTAGAGATTTCATTTGAGGCACTTAATTTGTAATCATTTATTTGCATGCCTGTCTTTTAATTAAAACATAGCCATTCAGGCATAGTGTTCTAAATATGTTTATTTCCTACCTCCCATATTGGTACATGGTAACATGTTTGGTTTTCAGTTAACAATATGTTGAGAAATTGAATAAGTGAAAATATTTACATAAATAGTGTTTGTATAACTAAAAATAGGTGTCTGATGAGTTCGGTGATTTCATTGAGGGTACACTTAGTCCATTGTCAGGGTGAGTTGAAACTTTAAAAATTAATTTAAATAGGATATGCTTGTGAGTGGTTCAGGCATTTTAGGGAGAACATATGTGGTAATGGTACAGAAATGTATTTTGGAGGTACTTGTTCTTTTTATTTATTTATTTTTAATTCTATTTGCGATGGACTAGAGGAAGTACTTGTTCTTATGAGTTTGCGTATTAGTCAAAAAAGATGTAAGGAGTTGCCCGAAAAAGAGCCTCTCAAGATTGTAATTAACTTCTGTAACAATTGCTTCTATTGAGTGACGTCTCAGATTCATTTCCGTATTTATTTTTTTTGAGACGGAGTCTCGCTCTGTCGCCCAGGCTGGAGTACAGTGGCGTGATCTTGGCTCACCGCAACCTCCACCTCCTGGGTTCGAGCAATTCTCCAGCCTCAGCCTCCTGAGTAGCTGGGACTACAGGTGTGTGCCACCATGCATGGCTAATTTTTTGTATTTTTTTAGTAGAGACGTGTTTTCACCATGTTAGCCAGGATGGTCTCCATTTCCTGACCTCGTGATCCGCCTGCCTCAGCCTCCCAAAGTGCTGGCATTACAGGTGTGAGCCACTGCACCCGGCCTATTTCCTGTATTTCTTGAGACAGCTGATATATAGGTCAAATTTAAAACTTTACCTCATGAATAATTTTTTTTTAATTAAAGACTATTTTTTTAGCTGGGCATGGTGGCTCAAGCTGGGATTACAAGCATGAGGCACCATGGGAGACTGAGGCAGGGGGATCTCTTGAGTCCAGGAGTTCGAGACCAGCCTGGGGAACATGGGGAACTATCTCTACCAAAAAAAAAAAAAAGTTATCCAGGCGTGGTGGTGTATACCTGTAGTTCCAGCTATTTGGGAGGCTGAGGCAGGAGATTCACTTGAGCCCAGAAGATTGAGGCTGCAGTGAGCTGTGATCATGCCATGGCACTGGTCTTGGTGACAGAGTGAGACCTTGTTTCAAAAGAAGAAAAAGACCCTCTTTCAGAGCAGTTTTTAGGTTAACAGCAAAATTGAGAGGAAGTTACAGATGATAATTTTTTTAAATGGTAAACTTCAATATTTAAAAATCGAGGCACCAGGCATGGTGGCTCACGCCTGTAATCCCGGCACTTTGGGAGGCCAAGGCGGGCAAATCACCTGAGGTCAGAAGGTCAAGACCAACCTGACCAACATGGAGAAACCCCGTCTCTACTAAAAATACAAGATTAGCAGGGCATGGTGGCACATGCCTGTAATTCCAGATACTCAGGAGGCTGAGGCAGGAGAATCGCTTGAACCTGGGAGGTGGAGGTTGCAGTGAGCCAAGACCGCACCACTGCACTCCAGCCTGGGCAACAAGAGCGAAACTCCATTTCAAAAAAAAAAAAAAAGATTTGGTGTGTGTATGAATTTGGTTAGCAGATAACGCTTTAGTACACTTGCTTAACGGTTTCAGAAATAAATGGTTAAGATTTCATATCAGGCCGGGCTCTGTGGCTCTCACCTGTAATCCCAGCACTTTAGGAGGCTGAGGCAGATGGATCACTTGGGGTCAGGAGTTTGAGAGCAGCCTGGCCAACATGGTGAAACCTCATCTCTACTAAAAATACAAAAATTAGCTGGATGTGGTGGCAGGCACCTGTAATCCCAGCTACTTGGGTGGGTGAGACAGGAGAATTGCTTGAGCCTGGGAGGTGGAGGTTGCAGTCAGCAGAGATCACGCCACTGCACTGCTGCCTGAGCGACAGAGCAAGACTCCGTCTTAAAAAAAAAAAAAAAAAAAAAAAGATCTAATATCATAGATACTACTTTAACTTAATTAAATGGACCTGTAGGTAAATGAAAGTCATTTTTCTCTTTAATTTTGTGCTGCTGTTTTTTTCCCCCACCCCTTAGCACAGCAATGGTAAAATGTCTCCTAGGTCATTTAGGGCTGGACAGCCAACTGTGACTTCTAGATATAATGAACTATTACTAAGTTATTATTTTTACAGTTTAACAGATAGCATGATTAAGCAAAAGTTTATTGATAACTTGAATAAAAGGTTACTGCAGAAAGAACCAGTGCTTATGTATATGCACTGTATAACTGCAAAGTAAAGATGATAATTCCATATGTGACCTAAACATAAGACTCCCTAAGGCTATCAAACTTCTTAAGGAAGTTCAGTTATAACTCATAGATTTCATATGTACACAATTTCGAATGAAAAATATCCTGTAATTTATATTAAAACTTTTTTGGGGAGGGGCCAGGTCTCGCTCTGTCACACAGGCTGGAATGCAGTGGTACCATCATGGCTCACTGCATACTTGACCTCCCAGGCTCAAGCGGATACTGCCACCTGAGCATCCTGAGTGGTCATAGGCTCAAGCCATCATGCCTGGCTAAGTTAAAAAAATTACGGTGTGTGTGGAGACGGGGTTTCACCATGTTGTCCAGGCTGAACTTGAACTTCTGGGCTCAAGCGATCCGCCTGCCTTGGCCTCCCAAAGTGCTAGGGTTTCAGGCATGAACCAGCCACTGTGCCTGGCCTAAATTTTTTTTTTTTTTTTGGATGGAATTTCGTTCTGTCACCCAGGCTGGAGTGCAGTGGCACGATCTCCGCTCACTGTAACCTCTGCTTCCCGAGTTCAAGCAATTCTCCTGTCTCAGCCGCCCAAGTAGCTGGGATTACAGGTGCCCGCTGCCATGCCCGGCTAATTTTTGTATTTTTAGTAGAGATGGGGTTTCACCATGTTGGCCAGGCTGGTGTTGAACTCCTGACTTCAAGTGATCTGCCTGCCTCGGGCTCCCAAAGTGCTGGGATTACAGGCATGAACCACCGTGCCCAGCCTTAACTTAGTTTTTATATTTTCAAACTTAATTGAGTGTATCATTCCAGAT
Source organism: Homo sapiens (assembly GCF_000001405.40). Taxonomy (NCBI): domain Eukaryota; kingdom Metazoa; phylum Chordata; class Mammalia; order Primates; family Hominidae; genus Homo; species Homo sapiens. Next base: position 33,874,298 of record NC_000009.12, read on the forward strand.
GTCAATTTTCAGTGCAAAGTAGGCATAGACCATTGTATAGAAGATTCACAAGTGAAAAATCTTCTTTTTTCAGTTTATAAAAATAATAACATGTTTATTATATCAGTCATAAAGAAGTTACAAAGTTCTTTAAATGCCCCATTCTTCCTCCGTTGCCCTCTGTTCCTGAGCTGATCATTGTTAATGGTTAGGAATGTGTCTTTTCAGTCTTTTTAAATATATACATAATGCATATGAAGAAATATATATGCACACATTGTTTTTATATATGTATATATATTATTATTATTTATCCTACCCGCCCCCTCCTCCATTTTATTTTGTAATTAATTTCTACTTTTCATTTCATTTGTGAAAATTTCAGAATAGTTTTTTGTTTGTTTGTTTGTTTTGAGACAGGGTCTCGACTTGTCTCCCATACTGGGGTGCAATGTCAGGATCATAGCTCACTGCAGCCTGGGTTCAAGCAATCTTCCCACCTCAGCCTCTTGAGTAGCCAGGACTACAAGTGCACACCACCATGGCTAGCTAATTTTAAATAATTTTTTTGTAGAGTTGGGGGTCTCGCTATGTTGCTGAGGCTAGTTTTGAACTCCTGGGCTCAAGTTGATCCTCCCGCCTCAGCCTCGCAAGGTGCTGGGATTATAGGCATGAGCCACTGTACCCGGCCTCAAAATGTATTTTTAAAATATGTTTTGTTTTACCTTTTTTTTTTTTTAATTGGCCAGGCTGGTCTCGAACTCCTGACCTTGTGATCCACCTGCCTCGACCTCCCAAAGTGCTGGGATTACAGGCGTGAGCCACTGCTCCTGGCCAAGTTTTGTTTTACTTTTTAAAAAACTTTAAATGAAAATTACTACAGCACCAACTAAATAACATGTATTTTTGAGACCTAACTGTAATACTATTATCACAACTATAAAAGCTCATAATTCCTTAATATCCAGTCAATGTTTACATTTCCCTTGTTCTCATAAATTTAGTTTGTTCAAATCATACCCTGAAATTACTAAGATCTATAATGGGTAAGAGCAAATTTTCTAATATATTGAACTTTATTTTCCCTTTTACTTCTTGTGGAAAATACTTTAATATTTATTAATGCTCCTCAATACAATGATAATGATTTAACCTTTGATTTGATGATTTAAGATTATCTTGGAGCCAGTCGTGGTGCCACACCCCTGTAGTCCCAGCTACTCAGTAGGCTGAGGTGGGAAAATCACTTGAGGTCTTGAGTTTGGGCAACATAGTGAGACCCTGTCTCTAAAAATTAAAAAATAATTGTGTCTTGGGATCCATTTTTGAAGTTTCTCTTAAAATTTGTATATGATCCTCATGATAACTCCCTAGGGTCAGTGTTTTTTGCCATTTTACATAAAAAGGAACTTGAAATCCAGAGATTTAAATGAGTTGACCTAAGGTCAGAGGCCTAGCAAAGACAATGCTTAGAATTGTGCCTGACAAATAAAAGATAGAAAAATGTAAATTAAATAGTCAAGAATCATGCCAGGGCTACAACACAGGGCTACTGATTCTAGTACCTTCCCTTCTTCTTTTAAAATCATTATATTGTTCTGTGAATATAACTGAAATGGTATGAGATCTTATATTCATATGTTAATAGCAAGTTATATCTTATTTCATAAAATTTCAAAAAGGGAAGAAATTTCAGTGACAAGTTGGCTGAAGTAGGAGTATTAAATATGTGTATGAGGTAATACATAGGTAACTATAGGTCACCATATACATGTGAAATAGTATGTTTAAATTTTTAATAAGGGCTGGGCATGGTGACTCACACCTGTAATCCCAGCACTTTGGGAGGCCAAGGCAGGTGGATCACCTGAGGTCAGGAGTTCGAGACCAGCCTGACCAACATGGTGAAACCCTGTCTCTACTAAAAATACAAAAATTAGCCAGGTGTGGTGGCATGCGCCTGTAGCTACTCGAGAGACTGAAACAGGAGAATTGCTTGAACCCGGGAGGCGGAGGTTGCAGTGAGCCAAGATTGCGCCAATGCACTCTAGCCTGGGCGACAGAGCAAGACTCCATCTCAAAAATAAATAAGTAAATAAACAGTTAATAAGGTTCTGAAAAATAAGTAAAGTAATAGAGATAGAGATAAAATTGTATAATTGCTCAGGGAAGCATTACAGCAGGATATTCCCCCTGAATGTTAACTTCAGCTGAATAGTTGAGGATTGTAAACTCCGCTGAAGGAGTTCTTAGTACAATTTAAATAGCCTTACCAGAAGCACACCAACCAATGTTACCTCTTCTAGTGGTAATGTAAGCATACTTTAGGCATGATGCTTTAAAAAAATCAATCATAAGGCCGGGGGCGGTGGCTCACGCCTGTAATCCCAGCACTTTGAGAGGCCGAGGTGGGCGGATCACGAGGTCAGGAGATCGAGACCATCCTGGCTAACATGGTGAAACCCCGTCTCTACTAAAAATACAAAAAATGTAGCCGGGCATGGTGGAGGGCGCCTCTAGTCCCAGCTACTCAGGAGGCTGAGGCAGGAGAATGGCATGAACTCGGGAGGCGGAGCTTGCAGTGAGCCGAGATCGTGCCACTGCACTCCAGCCTGGGCAATAGCGAGACTCCATCTAAAAAACAAATAAAATAAATAAGAGTTCGAGACCAGCCTGACCAACATGGTGAAACCCCAAGTGTACTAAAAATAACAAAAATTAGCCAGGCATGTTGGCACATGCCTGTAATCCCAGCTACTCCAGAGGCTGAGGCAAGAGAACAGCTTGAATTTGGGAAGTGGAGGTTGCAGTGAGCTGGACAACAGAGCGAAACTCCATCTTAAAAAAAAAAACTACTTCTAGAATAAAGTCAAAAGGGTCACATTAAAACTACTTATGATTGAATTTTTTTTTTTTTTTTTTTGAGACGGAGTCTCACTCTGTTGCCCAGGCTAGAGTGCAGTGGCGCGATCTCGGCTCACTGCAAGCTCCGCCTCCCAGGTTCATGCCATTCTCCTGCCTCAGCCTCCCGAGTAGCTGGGACTACTGGTGCCCGGCACCCATGCCCGGCTAATTTTTTCTGTTTTTAGTAGAGATGGGGTTACTCCTTGTTAGCCAGGATGGTCTCAATCTCCTGACCTCGTGATCCGCCCGCCTCAGCCTCCCAAAGTGCTGGGATTACAAGCGTGATGAAGGTAGTATTTTTAAAAGATTATATAGTAGATAATGGTCAAAAAGCTGAAAGTTCAAGAATAATTCAAAATATTAGATGCTTAGAGAAAATACAGAAACCCCATTAATACTACTAACCAATATTTATTAAGATTTAAGTGGAATATAATTAGGTTTGGTAAGGCTCTAAGAAAACTAATTCCATAATCATCAAGGTCTTAAGGTTGGTATTAATCTTTCCAGTTGTCTTATCTAAAGCTGGTAGTATTATAATCTAAGGGCAAGTAGGTAAAAGAGGTAAAACAGTGAAAATTAGCAATATATAAAACAGCCTTCATGATTTTTGCCCCTCTCTGTCTGTCTGTCTGTCTGTCTGTCTCTCTCTCTCTCTCTCTCTCTCTCCCACTCTCCCTCCGTCTTTCCTCAGCCTCCTGAATAGCTGGCATTACAGGCAACTGCCATCACGCCCAGCTAATTTTTGTATTTTTAGTAAGTGATGGGGTTTCACCATGTTGGCCAGGCTGGTCTTGAACTCATGACCTCAGGTGATCCGCCCACCTCAGCCTCCCAAAGTGCTAAGATTACAGGCGTGAGCCACTGCACCCATCCACCTATTTATATTTTTATATCTTTTATTTGTCAGGCACAGTTCTAAACATTGTTCAAGCATTACCTCATTTAATCCTCATACAAACGCATTAAATAAGTACTATTATCCCCTTTTTACTGGTGAGGAAACTGAGATATAAATTAAGTAATTGAGCAATACGCAGCGGCTCACATCTGTAATCTGTCCAGGAGAACGATGGCTGTTTGGACCAGTGGCCCAGGTCCAAACTTACTGAGTAAAGTAATTTACTGAGGCAGTTGTAAGTAAAGGAAGGCAGGCCAGGTGCAGTGGCTCACGCCTGTAATCCCAGCATTTAGAGAGGCTGAGGCAGGAGGATCATTGAGCCCAGGAGTTCGAGACCAGTCTTGGAAACATGGTGAAACCCTGTCCCTACAAAAATTAAATGAAAAATTAGCCAGGCCTGGTGGTGCACGTCTGTAGTCCCAGTTACTCTGGAGACTGAGATGGGAGGATCGCTTGAATCTCGGAGATGGAGGTTGCTATGAGCCAAGATTGCACCACTGCACTCCAGCCTGGTTGACAGAGTGAGACCCCGTCTCAAATTTACAAAAAAAAGGCAGATTTATTAGAGAACATAGGAAAATACATTGCGAGGGATGCCAGCAGCCTGCCAGAGAGAAGCCAACTGCAGAGAAACAAAGGCTTGGTAGAGATTTTATAGGATAGTGTTTATGCTGTATGCTGAAGAGGGCTTTGTGGAGTACTGAAAATGCCAAGGTTGCAGTGAGCTAACTTGCAGGTGTGTGGTGATAGTTGGGCACAGGAAGATTGTGAGTTATTTACACAGGAGGACTTATGTGTCCTGGACGATGAAGAAAGGCTGACTTGTGGCTTATCTGCTTTCTTTTATTGCTTTTCCCTCGGTCCCACTAGCCTGACTCCTTTCCCCTAATTAGGACTACACAGAGTACCCAGCATTTTAGGAGGCCAAAGCGGGAGGATTGCTTGAGCCCAGAAGTTTGAGACCAGCCTGGGCAAAGTGGTGAAATCTTTACAAAAAATCAAAAATTTAGCTGGGCATGGTGTCATGGCCTGTGGTCTCAGCTGCTCAGGAGGCTGGGGCAGGATCGCTTGAGCCTGCGAGGTCAAGGCTGGCAGTGATCCATATTTGTGCCACTGTACTCTAGCCTGGGTGACAGCATAACCCTGTCTTAATCAGTCAATCAATCAGTCGATCAATATAAATTAAGTAAGGGTCGCTTAAGATAACAGCTGAGTTGTAGAGTCAGGATTCAAACCCAGATAGTCCTGGCTTCTTGAGTCAGTGTTCTTTACTGCTATCTGTGCTACCTTTTATTATATTGGTGCATATCATCTATTCTACATAAATTTTCATGCAGCACTGCAAAGATTTCTCTTAGTACCCTAAGTAATCTTAACAAGACTTTTTTCTGAGACAGGGTCTTGCTCTGTCACCCAGGCTGGAGTGCAGTGGCGTGATCACAGCTTACTGCAGACTCGACCTCCTGGGCTCAGGTGATTTTCCCACCTCAGCCTCCTGAGTAGCTGGGATTACAGGCACGTCCACCATGCTTGGCGAATTTTTGTATTTTTTGTAGAGATGGGGTTTCACCATTTGCCCAGACTAGTCTTGAACTCAAGCAACCTGCCCACCTAGGCCTCCCAAAGTGCTGGAATTACAGGCACAAGCCACGGCGCCTGGTCACAAGACTTTTTTTTTTTTTTTTTTTTTTTGAGACGATGTTTTGTTTAATTGATTTCTGCTTTTATGTCAGTTCTCTTTCTTCTGCTTGCTTCTAGTTTAATTTCATAGTCTGTCCTTTCCTCTTTATTTTGTTTGTTTGTTTGGTTTTGTTTTTTTGAGACAAGGTCTCACTCTGTCACCCAGGCTGGAGTGCAGTGGCAAGGTTATGATTCACTGCAGCCTCAACCTCCCAAACTTAAGTAGTGATCCTTCTACCTCAGCCTCCCAAGTAGCTGGGACCTCAGGGGTGCACCATCATGGCTGGCAACTTTTTGTATTTTTTGTAAAGATGAGGTCTTACCATGTTGCTCAGGCTGCCCTCCAACTCCTGCGCTCAAGGAATCCACCCGCCTCGGCCTCCCTAAGTGCTGGAATTATAGGTGTGAGCCACTGCACTTGGCCTAATTTTGTATTTTTCTCATTTCTTAAGTAGAAGCTTATATTATTGAAATGAGACCTACATTTTTTCCAGTGTAGGCAATTCTAAAAATTTCTATTTGAGTATTGCTTTAGGTGTATGTTACAGATTTTCATTGTCATTTTTTTCATGTTCAATTAAACAATTTTCTAAGTAACTTTGTGGCTTCCTCTTTATACTGTGATTTGTACAGTTACGTAATTTCCAAATGTTTGGGGATTTACTAAATATCTTTGAATTTAGAAAATCAGAATTTCTAGCTTAATTCATTGTGGCCAAAGAATATGCTATGTATTATGTCATTTCTTTAAACTTTGTAGATAGATGTTGTACGTTCCAGAATATGGTATGTCTTGGTGCGTGTTCTATGTGTCCACAAAAATAATTTGTATGCTGCTGTTGTTCAGTGGCATATTGTCTTCTATATCCTTACTGAGTTTTTGTCTCCTTGTACTTTAAACCAGGGGTGCCTACCCGATACTGATCTGGTACAACTCTGTGGCCTGTTAGGAAGTAGGCCGCACAGCAGGAGGTGAGCTCAGCCTCCAGTCAGATCAGCTCAGGCATTAGATTCTCAAGGAGTGCGAACCCTGTTGTGAACTGGGCATGTGAGGGATCTAGGTTGAGTGTTCCTTATGAGAATCTGACTAATGCCTGATGACTTGAGGTGGAACAGTTTCATCCCGAAACACCCACCTCACTACCCTTCCCACTCCTCCGCCCTCTTGTCCATGGAAAAATTGTCTTCAATGAAATCAGTCCCTGGTGCCAAAAGGGTTGGGGACTGCTGCTTTAGACTGTTGAGAGAGAAGTGATGATATCTTCAACTGTAATTATGCATTTTTCTATTTTTCCATTTGGTGGCAAAAGTTTTTAGTTACATCATTTTGTGTTCTAAAGCTCTGTTGTTACCAGTGCACACACAGTTAATATTATGTCTTCTTTGTGAATTGATCCCCTTATGAAATTACCCTCTTTATCTGTGATAATATTTTTTGTTCTAAAGTATACTTTCTCTGTTATTCAGATAGCCACTCCAGCTTTATTAACTAATCTCCAGTTAGTTTAGTTTAGATTTCACCAGTTTCTGCACTAATGTATTAATTAAGGTATAATGCATATACCATAAAATTCACCCTTTTAAAGTATATAGTTCAGTGGTTTTTAGTATATTCAGATGGTTGTACAGCCATCACCACCATCTAACTCCAGAATATTTCATCATCTCAAAAAGAATCCCCATACTCATTAGCAGTCACTCTGTATTCTCCTGTGCCTCCATATCATCATCTTATTTCAGAGTCCAGTTCAGGATATCACACTGTATTTAGTTGTCCCGTCTTTTTAGTCTCCTCCAGTCTTTGATGATTTCTCCGTCTTTCCTCATTTTTTGTGACCTTGACAATTTTTGAAGAGGATGGGTCAGGTTTGGTAGAATATTCCTCCATTTGGGTTATCTGATGTTTTTCTCATGACTAGAATGGGGTTATAGATTTTGGGGGAAGAATACCACAAAGATGAAGTGCCTTACTTACTACATCATATCAGGGAGGTCATGATACCAATATGATTTACTGCTAGTGATGTTAACCTTGATCACTTGGTTAACATGTCTGCCAGATTTCTCTACGGTAGAGCTACTATTTCTTTCCATACTTTATTGTTAGAAAGTGAGTCATTAAATCCAGCCCACACTCTAGGAAAGGGGAATTCAACTTCACCACCTGAATGTGGATTATGATTATTTGTAGTACTACTGTAAGGAAGATTTGACCCTTCTCCACCAGTATTTTTCCATTCAGTAATACTTATCAGTATGTACTCATTTATATTTATTTCATATTTTGGGTAACAGTATTACATTATGTATTTTGTAGCTTCGATTATTCTAGTTTTGGCCATTAGGAGCTCTTGCAGTTTGGCTCCTATGCTGTTTTGAAATACTCCAATTTGTTTTCTTTAGCACTTACTTTTTGGCATTATAAGATGCTCTAGGCTTGTCTTTTATTTTTCCTGCCACAGATCTAGAATCAGGTGTTTCACCAAAGGGCCCTGGTTCCTTTTATTGAATAATGATATTTTATATTATTTTATTTATCTTTTGAGATGGAGTCTCATTCTGTCGCCCAGGCTGGAGTGCAGTGGTGCGATCTCGGCTCACTGCAACCTCTCCTGCCCGGGTTCAAGCAATTCTCCTGCCTCAGCCTCCCGAGTAGCTGGGATTACAGGCACCTGCCACTGCACCTGGCTAATTTTTAGTTTTACTAGAGATGGGGTTTCACCATCTTGGCCAGGCTGGTCTTGAACTCCTGACCTCGTGATCCACCCGCCTAGGGCTCCAAAAGTGCTGAGATTACAGGCGTGAGCCACCATACCGGCCAAATAATGATATTTTAGAAATCAAGATCTTTGAGGGACCTGGGTGTTTGGGCTCCAGCCTTTTTTCCCCCTAATCAGCTTTATTGTGATTTTAATGCATATGTCATACAGTTCACCCATTCATTAAAGTATATAGTTTAGTGGTTTCTAGCATATTCACAAAGTTGTGTAACCATCACCAAAATCAATTTTAGAATACATTTTGTCATCTGAAAAAGAAACCTTGTGCCGAGGATAGTGGCTGATACCTGTAATCCTAGCACTTTGGGAGTCTGAGGTGGACGGATCACCTGAGGTCAAGCGTTTGAGACCATCCTGGCCAACATGGCAAAACCCCATCTCTACTAAAAATACAAAAATTAGCCAGGAGTGGTGGCACATGCCTGTGATCCCAGCTACTCGAGAGGCTGAGGCAGGAGAATCGCTTGAACCCAGGAAGTGGAAGTTGCAGTGAGCTGAGATCATGCCACTGCACTTCAGCCTGGGCAACAGAGCAAGGCTCCACCTCAAAAAAATAATAATAATAATTTTAATTGTGTCCCATTTCTTTTTACTTTTGTTCCTTGTGTTTTTGGTGTCACGTGTACAAAACTTAGTGAATGCAAGGTTATGAAGATTTACACCTATGTTTTCTTTTAAGAATTTTATAGTTTCTCTCTTATCTTAGTCCTCCAATTCAATTCATTGTTGACACTGTCTACCTGGAGATAACATCAGATTCTATAGGTTAAGGACTCAGTCCCACAAGAAAGACTGCCTCCATTTTGGATGCCTATGGCAGACCTATACTCCTGATGAATCAGCTATAAATTGGGATTTCCACTACTCCCCCTTAAAAGAATAAGATCAATAAGGCCGAGTGCGGTGGCTCATGTCTGTAATCCCAGCACTTTGGGAGGCCGAGGCAGGCAGATCACGAGGTCAAGAGATCAACGCCATCCTGGCCAACATGGTGAAACCCCATCTCTACTAAAAAATACAAAAATTTAGCTGGGTGTGGTGGCATGCCCCTGTAGTCCCAGCTACTCAGGAGGCTGAGGCAGGAGGATCACTTGAGCCTGGAGGTGGAGGTTGCAGTGAGCCGAGATTGCACCACTGCCCTCCAGCCTGGTGACAGAGCAAGACTCTGTCTCAAAAAAAAAAAAAAAAAAGAAATAAAAAAGAATAAGGTCAATAAATTGACCTATCTTCAAATTCACTATTTTTTCTACCTGCTCAAATCTGTTGCTCAGCACTTAATTTTTTTTTTTAATTTCAGTTTTTGTACTTCTTAAATTTAGTCATCAAAAGGAATGAACAGGCCAGCTGTGGTGGCTCACATCTGTAAATCCCAGCACTTTGGGAGGCCGAGGCGTGGGGATTGCTTGAGCCCAGGAGTTCGAGACCCAGCCTGGGCAATATGATGAAACCTCCAGCCCCACAAAAAAATTAGCTGGGCTTGGAGATGCATGCTTGTAGTCCCATCTACTCAGGTGGCTGAGGTGGGTGAATTACTTGAGCCCAGAATGTCAGGGTTGCAGTGAGCTGTAACCCAGTGTACTCTGTCTAGCCTGGGTGACTGACAGAGCAAGACCCTGTCTCAAAGAATCAACAGTTTTTGTACTTAACAACTTAAGAATCTCTCTCTCTCTCTCTCTCTCTCTCTCTCTCTCTCTTCCCCCTCTCTTCCCCCTCCTACCCCCAACCCCTTTATTTTTTCTTTTTCTTTCTTTTTTTTTTTTTGAGACAGGCTCTTCCTCTGCTGCCCAGCCCTGAGTGCAGTGGTATGATCATAGCCCACTGCAGCCCCACCTCCTGGGCTCAAGTGATCCTCCCACCTCAGCCTCCTATGTAGCTGGGACCACAGACACCACCATACCCGACTGATTTTTAAATTTTTTGTAGAGTAGGGTCTCGCTACCTTGCCTAGGCTTGTCTGAAATTCTGGGCTCAAGGGATCCACCTGCCTGAGCCTTCCAAAGTGTTGGGATTACAGGCATGAGCCACCACTTTTTGTGGATTTTTAAAAATAATTTATCTCATTATTGATATTCAGTATTTATGGGTGAAACACCATTCTCATGCTTTCCTTTAAGTTCTTTAGCCATGATTTTCTTTAGTCCTTTGAAATGTTTAAAGGTTTAAAGATAAGCTGATTTAGTCTTTGCCTAGTAACTTGAATACTTAGGTTTCCAGTTTCTATTGATTCTTTTTTTTTTCTCCTGTTGTATGGACCATACTTTGTTCATAGCTTGTAATATTTTGCTGAAAACTAGAAATTTAAATAATATACAGTGGCACCTGCAGGAATCCAATTCTCCTCTTCCCCAGGGTTTTTGTTGTTGCCATTGCTGCTGCTGTTGTAATTACTGTTGACTTCTTTTACCTAATTATATAATGTCGATATTATTGTTATGTGTGGCCAGTGAATTCTCCACTCAGCTTAGTGGTCAGGTAATGATTGAACAGAGATTTCCTTGGTTTTCTAGAACCAGTTAGTTAGCTGGAATTTGTAGAGAGGCTCTGCGTATGTGTCATTGCATGTCTTCAACTTAATTCAGACAGGCATTTGCAAACTCTTTACTTTCTTGTTGTATACATTCTCAAGTTAAGCCAGAGGTATAAAGTTAGGGCCTTCTTAGGGCTTTCCTGAGCATGCACATAGTGCTGGGCATGTGCATAGCTCTACACATTGTCATGGTATTATAGACTCACAATAATTTGTCAGAGCTTTTCAGAACCATAATGGACAACTCTTAGCCCAGCCCAGCTTTTCCTTAACGTTTTTGGTTAGTCTGTTTTGTATTTTCCACTGCCTCAGGTACCTTTAAGATTAAATAGTTGCCTGCCATTGTTTTCAACAAAGCTGCCAGGGAAAATGTTTTCATATTGGCCAAGCTCCAAATCCAATCATATGTAGACAGCCTTGCAAGTGGAGTTTTCTAGGGAACCATTAGAAAAGTAAACTTAATGACAATTCTCTGGGAGTAAGGCTTTGGCGAAATGCCAGCCCATTCTATCCTCTCCAGGGCCTGTCAGCTTCCTTGGTTTTTACTTTGAATGTGTTTTAAGGCTGCTGCACAGCTAGAGTATAGGAGATTGGATTAGGGTAAGTTAAAATCACGTAGCTTGATGTTCTTACTGAATGTCAGCCATTTTCTTTAAATATCTACTCCTTGAATTGTTGCAAGCCTCTGGTTATTTTCTGGAATTCTGAAAATGATGCTTATAATTTTTGGCAATTTTCCCATTGCTTTTGTGGAAGAGAGAACTTTTCAGGTTTTCTGGATTTCTTCATATATAAAATACGGGGATACTGCAAAGGACGTTCACTGCAGCAGGATTTGTAACAGCAAAGGTGTGAGAAACAACCCAAATGCCCAAAATAAGGAAATAGTTTTATAAAATGGTTCATGTAGGTATACATTTGATGGAGTATAATGCAGATACTGTCAGTCATCCATGTAAAGAGAATATTTTATGGTGTAAAAAAAATGTTTACAATGTGATACAGGTGAAAAAAGCAGAATACAAAATACAGTATGTTGAAGTTTTTAAAAATACGTTTTGTAAGGGAAATCAGCAATGTCAGCATTTATTATTTCTGGGTGATAGAATGACAGTTAAATTATGTGAGTAAAAAGAAAAATACCGTTGTTCCATATTGTGTACTCTAAAATTAGATTATTTTGTTATAAAAATAAAATGTACAGAGTACTGTTTTTCACTTGTGAGGCAAGTTAAAATTATATTTATGTATGTTTGTGTATGTGAGTGAGTGTGAGTTTTGGTGACTTAAAATAGCCTTTTATAGGGGCAGGGCACGGTGGCTCACGCCTGTAATCCCAGCACTTTGGGAGGCCGAGGCAGGTGGATCACAAGGTCAAGAGATTGAGACCATCCTGGCCAACATGGTGAAACCCCGTCTCTACTAAAAATACAAAAATTAGCCGGACGTGGTGGCGTGCACCTGTAGTCCCAGCTACTCGGGAGGCTGAGGCAGGAGAATCGCTTGGACCTGGGAGGTGGAGGTTGCAGTGAGCTGAGGTCACGTCACTGCACTCCAGCCTGCTGACAGAGTGAGACTCCGTCTTAAAAAAAAAAAAAAAAAAAAGGCTTTTATAAATATTTGAAGGGGTGCTGTAAGAACTTACTAATGACCCTGGCACTGGGGATAACAAAGTATGTCTGAGCTACTTTAATCTCAAGAGTTTACTCTATGAAAGGAGCTTTGTTTCTGTGGCGTGTAGTAGGGTGAATTATTAGGCAGATGAATAAGTTATAGTCTCATTTATTAGCATTTCATTTTTTTTCTTTTCAGGCGCATATTAAATTTCCTATTGACTACCCCTATTCACCACCTACCTTCAGATTCTTGACCAAAATGTGGCACCCCAACATTTATGAGGTAAGGAGACATCCATCATAAATTTCTCTGAAGATTTTTTTTTTTAAATCAGTACTTTAAAATAGCCTATCTCAGCACACTTTGATACTTAGGCTTTTGTAGCCATAGAGAAATATTAATGATTTTGCACTTCAGTTAACAGTTTCTGGATTAATTATTTAACATTAGTGTAGTTTTATAATATCCTGTGTATATTCTACAGGATAAAGGATAAAGTAAAGGATTTGGGCTTTAGACTTTTGCTGTTCATTGCTAGGGTTATAATACACATGTCTTTAACATGTGCATTTAAAAATTTAGTAGATAATGTAATATAAATTTATTTGTGTGCCTATCCTCTAACTTCACAGCAAGGGTCACCTGTTCCTATGGGTGAGAGATTCAGCTTTTGGTAGGGGGAGCGGGATTTATCCCATTACATTTGGACTGGCCTCCTTTTAGGAATTGCTGCTGAACATTTGGGAGGCTCTTTTGGAATAAATTCAAGGTGAGGTTCTTGTACTAGACAAGTGCACATGCCTGGGGGAAGCATTTCTAGCTTTGTTGATGAAACGTACTTAGCTTTGGGCTAATCCATAAGGATACTAGAATAATGCATTCTGTTTCTCAGGTTGATATATGAGGGCCCGCTAGTTTTTTTCCTTTGAGGCTACTCTTCACTATTCTATAAGTGTGCTTTTTTGTTTGTTTGTTTGTTTGTTTGTTTGTTTGTTTGTTTGTTTTTGAGACAGTCTCGCTCTGTAGCCCAGGCTGGAGTGCAGTGGCGCAATCTCGCTCACTGCTACCTCTGCTTTCCGGCTCCCAGTTCAAGCAGTTCTCCTGCTTCAGCCTTCCGAGTAGCTGGGATTACAGGCATGCGCCACCATGCCCAGCTAATTTTTGTATTTTTAGTAGAGATGGGGTTTCACCATGTTGGCCAGGCTGTTCTTGAATTCCTGACCTCGTGATCCACCCACCTCGGCCTCCCAAAGTGCCGGGATTACAGGCGTGAGCCACCGCGCCTGGCCTACTATTCTAAAAGTGTGTTTTTAAATCTCCAAATGTTTTGGGGATTTTGCAGGTATCTTTCTGTTAGGAACTTCCAGTTAAATTCCGTTGTGATCTGAAAGCAGACATTGTATGATTTCTATTTTTAAAAATTTGTCAGTATGTGCCTTATGGCCCAGAATGTGGTATATCTTCATGAAAGTTCCATGTGAACTCAAGAACAATGTGTAATCTGCAGTTACGAGTGTAGTAGTCTATAATGCTCATTATATACACTTGAAGAATGGTGTTGCTGAGTCCAGCTATGTCTTTACTTATTTTCTGCCTGCCAGCTCTGTCCATTTCAAAAAACAAAAAAACAAACAAAAAAAAATTCTGTAATCTTTTATTTGCAATATGGTTTTGCAGTGGTCTCATTTTTTCGTAGCAGCATCCCAAGCATTGAAATTGCTTTAGAGTCTTGCCATCTTAGTCATGCATCAGTTCTTTTTTTTGGCCCTGTGGATGTTGGAAGTACCTTTGCTCCAGAAACTGAGCTAACATCACCTTTAAATTACTTTTATTTTATTTATTTATTTGTTATTTGAGATGGAATCTCTGTCACCCAGGCTGGAGTGCAGTGGTGCGATTTCAGCTAACTGAACCTCCACCTCCTGGGTTCAAGCGATTCTCCTGTCTCAGCTTCTTGGGTAGCTGGGACTACAGGTGTGCACGACCACACCTGGCTAATTTTTGTATTTTTAGCAGAGACAGTGTTTCACCATGTCGGCCAGAGTGGCCTCGAACTTCTGACCCCAAGTAATCCACCTGCCTTGGCCTCCCAAAGTGCTGGGATTACAGGGTAAGCCACCATGCCCGGCCACCTTTAAATTGCTTTTAGGCAAGAAATGGAGAACTCGCTCTAGGGTCTTGAATTTGGAGTTCATTCTGTATAAATGAGCACATTGGGGCAGCTGTGTCATTTTCCACAGTCTGTTTCTTATGTAAGATATCTTAATTTTTCTTTTTCAGACAGAACAGACTGGTACTGAAATGATATATAGTTTTCTTTTTAGAAATAAGCTTTCTAAATATTGTTTAATATTTGACATAATATAAATAAACAATAGTGACTACACTGTTCTGTGTAACAACATTATCTTCCTTTTGTAGGAAAGAGTCTGTAGAAATAATTCATTGTTTCCTAAGTTCAAACTGAGTTCAGTACGCACAGCAGTATTTTGGTGTCTGTCTTAGTACATTTGCTTAGACTGGATAATATATTAACAACAGAAATTTATTGCTCACAATTCTGGAGGCTGGGAATTCCAAGACCAAGCCACCAGCACATTTGGTCTGTTGAGGGCTTGTTTTTCAAGCCTGTTTTGTTGCATCTTTATGGGAGAAGAGGCAAGGCAGTTCTCTCTTGCCTCTTTCTTTTTTTTTATTTTTAGTAGAGACAGGGTTTCACCGTGTTAGCCAGGATGGTCTCGATTGCCTGGCCTCATGATCTGCCCACCTTGGCCTCCCAAGGTGCTGGGATTACAGGCGTGAGCCACCGCACCCGGCCCTCTCTTGCCTCTTTCATAAGGGTGCTAATCCCATTCATGGGTGACACCAAAATTCAGACCATAACAATGTCCCTGTCTAATAATTAAAGGTTTTTGCCTTTACAGTTACGTGGTGTATATATAGATTTTAGATAGCAAGAGAGAAGTGAGAAGGAGCAAACTTTTGTCTTGCAATTGAGAGCTAATTACTTTTGTGTTTTTGAGATGGAGTCTCGTTCTGTCACCCAGGCTGGAGTGTGGTGGCATGATTTCAGCTCACTGCAACTTCTGCCTCCCTTCAAGGATTCTTTTGCCCCAGCCTCCTGAGTAGCTGGGACTACAGGTGTGCACCACCACACCCAGCTAAGTTTTGTATTTTTAGTAGAGACAGTGTTTCACCATATTGGTCAGGCTGGTCTCTAACTCCTGATTGTGATCCTCCCACCTCGGCCTCCCAAAGTGCTGGGGTTACAGGCGTGAGCCACCGCACCCAGCAGAGAGTTAATTGCTCTTAAAGCCATATACATACTATTTCCATCTCAGTTATCTAATTCCCAAACACCTCTCAAAAAAGAAACAGAAAAATAGGATAAAGGAGTCAAAGCTCTACAGGAAAGAAGTGTAGGTAGGTAATTACACTCCCCTTTCCACTTTTTTTTCAGTACATAGGCTATTTAGTTCTTTCAAGAGATACCATTAGATCATGATATAAAATTTTTTCCATATTCATAATGAATTTTTCTACAATAAAATGCATGCATATCCCATAAATGTGTAGATATTTTTCACACACAAATGTTTTGTTTTTAAAGAAGTGATAGGCCGGGCGCAGTGGCTCACCCTATAATCCCAGCACTTTGGAAGGCTGAGTTGAGGAGTTCAAGACCAGCCTGGTCAACATGGTGAAACCCCGTCTTTACTAAAAATACAAACATCAGCTGGGTGTGGTGGCACGCGCCTGTAATCCCAGCTACTCAGCAGGATAAGGCAGGAGAATCGGCTTGAACCCGGGAGGCAGAGGTTGCAGTGAGCTGAGATCGAGCTAAGGCCGGGCTCGGTGGCTCACGCCTGTAGTCCCAGCACTTTGGGAGGCCAAGGCAGGCAGAACATGAGGTCAGGAGTTTGAGACCAGCCTGGCCAACATGGTGGAACTCCGTCTCCACTAAAAATACAAAAATTAGCCAGGCGCAGTGGCAGGTGCCTGTAATCCCAGCTACTCAGGAGGCTGAGGCAAGAGAATTGCTTGAACCCAGGAGGCAGAGGTTGCAGTGAGCTGAGATCATGCCACTGTACTCCAGCCTGGGCGACAGAGCAAGACTCTGTC
Source organism: Homo sapiens (assembly GCF_000001405.40). Lineage (NCBI taxonomy): Eukaryota > Metazoa > Chordata > Mammalia > Primates > Hominidae > Homo > Homo sapiens. Next base: position 33,890,808 of record NC_000009.12, read on the forward strand.
TTGCAGGGACGGGGTGGTTGGGGGAAGAAGTGACAAATCATATTTAGGAATTAAATTTGATGTTGTCAAAGGAATCATAAGAAACTCTTCTCACGTGACTATTAACCTTCATAGCAGTATGGAAATAGTATCAGAATTGAAATTTTTGAGGACCAGTGTTGGTATTTGTGGTAATAGAGATCTAGAGACCCCATCTGGCCAAAAATAGTTTCTTATGTCATGTTTTTTGTTGTTGTTGTGTTTTTTTGTTTTTTTTTTTTGAGATGGAGTCTTGCTCTGTCACCCAGGCTAGAGTGCAATGGTGCAATCTTGGCTCACTGCAACCTCCGCCTCCCGGGTTCAAGCTATTCTCCTGCCTCAGCCTTCTGAGTAGCTGGGATTACAGGTGCCTGCCCGGCTAATTTTTGTATTTTTAGTAGAGACGCCGTTTTACATCTTGGCCAGGCTGGTCTCGAACTTCTGACTTCGTGATCCACCTGCCTCGGCCTCCCAAAGTGCTGGGATTACAGGAGTGAGCCACCACACCCAGCTCTTATGTTTTTAAAAAGACAGGTGTGGTCAGGTGTGGTGGCTTACGCCTGTAATCCTAACACTTTGGGAGGCCGAGGTAGGCGGACCACTTGAGGCCAGGAGTTCAGGACTAGCCTGGCCAACTCAGTGAAATCCCACCTCTACTAAAAATAGAAAAAATTAGCTGGGCATGGTGGCACACACCTGTAATCCCAGTTGCTTGGGAGGCTGAGGCATGAGAATCGCTTGAACCCAGGAGGCAGAGGTTGCAGTGAGCCAAGATTGCACCACTGCACTCCAGCCTGGGCAACAGAGTGAGACTCCTGTCTCAAAAAATAAATAAATAAATAAATCAAAAGACAAGCGCTTTGGTCACAGTTTATTAAATAAATGTATAGATATATTACTGCAGCCCCCAAAAGTTGTAAATAACTGTTGTGTTACATGAGTGGATTTATTTTAAAATTGTCTTCTCCTTGAGTTAAAGCTGCAAAACTTTCTGTTGTTGTTGGCTGGGCACAGTGGCTTATGCCTATAATCCCAGCACTTTGGGAGGCTGAGGCAAGTTCACCAGGCGTAGTGGCACATGCCTGTAGTCCCAGCTACTTGGAAGGCTGAGGTGGGAGGGTCACTTGAGCCTAGAAGGTCGAGGCTGCAGTGAACTGTGTATATGTATGTGTGTGTGCATATATATATTTATATTTTCATCATTACCATATTTGTGAAATTCATTAGTATCAATGGAGAACTAGGAAAACTAAGGAAATTTGATAGGAATTTGTCATCAGTGATTGTGCTGCACAATCTATTTCCTTTCTGCTTTGCGAATTTGTCATCAGTGATGGTACTGCACAATCTATTTCCTTTCTGTTTTGCACTGTGTTTAGTGAGCCTTAATATATATGTTACTGGTTACATTCTGGTCATATTGTTAAAAAGTAGACAACTAATGAGCACCATATTTTTCACAAACTGTATTACAATGAGAGTTCATATAACACTTTCTTTACTACAGACTTCACAGATAAGGCAACACATAGAATTTCACTGTTCATTAGTACCTAAACATTTTTTATAATAGACATTAATTTTTAGAGCAGTTTTGGGTTCATTACAAAATTGAGGGGAAAGTTCAGAGAAAAAAATTGCTGATTATTTTATTAATAGTGTGTTGTAGAACACAGTATGGAGCTTTTTATAAGTTCCTCTATGGGGTTATACATTTATAGGTTTATCTATATGGTACATTAGGCATCATTTAGAATATATTAGTATTTAGGCCACTAAATTTGTACTTTTCAGAGCTGAGCTCTGGTTTGTAAATAACTTGTCACAAGCAGGATTTTATGCATATTTATGTAATTCTTGGATTTACAGATCTTATCCATTTTCTCTTAACATTTTAAGATATAGGGAAAAGGTTTCCTAAGTATTGACATGCCCAAATTTGGCCATATATCAGAATCATGTGGAGAAGTTATTAAAAAGAATCCTGGAAATTTTTATTTAATTGGATTTGGATGGGGTGTAGGCTAGATAATTCTTCATTTTATCTTTTAGAATCCCCATTCTAGAGTCCAATAACTTCCTTATTAAAAAAAAAAGAATTTATTGAGATGAAATTCACATACATAAAATTAACCATTTAAAGTAAACAATTTGCAGGGAGATCCCTTGAGCCCAAGAGTTCGAAGTTTCAGTGAGCTATAATCATGCTACTGCACCAGCCTGGGTGACAGAGCAAGACTGTATCCTTCATTCATAAATAAATAAGTAAATAAATAATCAATTCAATAACATTTAGTATGTTCATAATGTTGTACAACTATTAATACCTCTATGTAGTGGTAAAGCGTTTCCATCACTCCAACTTAAAATACACTACATATGAAGTAATTTCTCTCCGTTCCCATGTTCCCTCAATCTCTGGCAACCACTCATCTGCTGTCTCTATAGATTTACATATTGCAGATATTTAGTATAAATAGCGTCATATAGTATGTGACATTTTGTGTCTGGCTTGTTTCACTCAGCACAATATTTTGGAGATTCATCCACCTTGTAGTATGTATCAGTACTTCATTCCTCTTCATGGCTGAAGAATATTGCATTATATAGATATACCACAATTTGTTTCTACATTTATCTTTTGATGGACACATTTGGATTGTTTCTCCCTTTTGTATATGTGAATAGTGCTGCTCTGAACATGCATGTGCATGTAGTTTTTGAGTACCTGTTTTCAGTTCTTTGGGTTACATACCTAGGAGTGGAATTGTGGGGTTAAATGGGAATTCTATGTTTAACTTTTTATTTATTTATTTATTTATTTTTTGAGACAGAGTCTCACTCTGTTGCCCAGGCTGGGATGCAGTCAGGATTTCAGTTCACTGCAACCTCTGCTCCTGGCCCCAAGCTATTCTCGTGCCTCAACCACCCAAGTAGCTGGGATTACAGGTGTGCACCACCACGCCCAGCTATTTTTTGTATTTTTAGTAGAGACGGGATTTTGCCATGTTGGCCAGGCTGATCTAGAACTCCTGGCATCAAGTGATTCACCTGCCTTGGCCTCCCAAATGCTGGGATTACAGGTGTGAGCCACTGTGCCCAGCTGACTTTTTCTTCCTTCTTTTTTCTTTTTTTTTAAACCCATTTTCCTGTTAGTGCTGGGATTACAGGCATGTGAGCCACTGTGCCCAGCCATCTTTTAAATGGACTGCCAAATTTTTTCTCATAGCAGCTGAACTGTTTACATTCCCACCAGCAGTGTGTGTGTGTTCCAGTTTCTTTACATCCTTACCAACACTTGTTATTTTCCTTTTCTTTAAAAAAGGCTAGGTGCAGTGGCTCACATCTGTAATTTCAGCACTTTTAAAGGCCAAGGCAGGAGGATTGCTTGAGGCTAGGAGTTTGAGACCAGCCTGGGCAACATAGCAAGATCCCCATCTCTATATTTAAAAAAAAAGGACAAAATATAGCTATCCTAAGTGGGTGTAAAGTGGTAGCTCATTGTGGTTTTGCTTTGCATTACCCACATGGCTTATGTTGAGCATCTTTTCATGTGCTTATTGGCCATTTGTATACCTTCTTTGGAGAAATGTCTGTCCTAGCTCATTTTTTATTTTTCATTTATTTTTGGGGAATGGGGTCTTGCTCTGTTGCCCAGGCTGGAGTGGCCCAGTCATGGCTCACTGCAGCCTCAAACTCCTAGACCCAAGCAGTCCTCCCACATCCACCTCCCAAGTAGCTGGGACTACAAGTGTGTGCCACTACACCTGACTAGTAAAATTTTGGGGGGGGCCACATGTGGTGGCTCACACCTGTAATCTCAGCAGTTTGTGTGGCCAAGGTAGAAGGATTGCTTGAGCTCAGAAGTCAGGACAATCCTGAGTAACAGCGCAACTCCATCACTATAAAAAAAATTTTAAAATTGTCCAGGTTTGCTGGCTGTTATCTGTGGTCCCAGGTACTTGGGAGGCTGAAGTGGAAGGATCACTTGAACCCGGGAGGTAGAGGCTGCAGTGAGCTGAGATTGCACCACTGCACTCCAGCCTGAGAGACAAAGTGAGACCTTGTCTCTTTATGTCACCCAGGCTGGTCTGGAACTCCTGGCCTCAAGCAGTCCTCCCCGCTCAGCCTCCCACAGTGGTGGAATTACAGGCATGAGCCACTGTACCTGGCCTTCCCTATTATTGAAATGGATATCTTTTTGTTACTGAGTTTTAGGAATTCCTTATATATTATACATATTAAACCTTTATCAGATATATGATTTGCAAATGTTTTCTCCCATTCTATAGGTTGCCTTTTCACTTTCTTGATAATGTCCTTTAGATGCATAAAAGTTTTCCATTTTAATGAAGTGCAGTTATTTCCAAGTCTTTGATCTATTTTCAGTTAATTTTTGTATATGACATGAGGTAGGAGTTCAGTTGCATTTTTTTGTTTGTAGAAATCCAGTTGTCCCACTACCATTTATTGAAGAGTCTGTTTTTTCCCCATTGAATGGACTTGGCATCCTTGTCAAAATCAATTGGCCATCAATGTATTGGATTATTTCTGGACTCTCAATTGTAAATTATATTCCATTGGTTTATATGTCTGTCATTATGCCAGTACTGAACAACATGGTTGTCTTTGTAGTAATTTTTAAAATTAGGAAGTGTGAATCCTCCAACTTTTGCTTTTTCCACATTGTTTTGGCTCTTTGGGTCCCTTAAATTGCTATATAAATTTTAGGATTACCTTGTCAATAACTGTAAAATGGGAAGGTAGGATTTGATAAGGATTGTGTTGAATGAACCTGTAGATCAAACTGGGGAATAGAACCATCTTAACATCGTAACTCTACATTTTTTAAGATCTTTTAAAATTTCTTTGAGCACCGTTTTGTAGTTTTCAACGTACAAGTCTTTTCCCTTCCATGACTAGATTTATTCTCTCTCTCTCTCTTTTTTTTTTTTTTTTTTTTTTGAGATGGAGTCTCGCTCTGTTGCCTAGGCTGGAGTGCAGTGGCTCGTACTCAGCTCACTGTAACCTCTGCCTCCCGGGTTCAAGCGATTCTCCTGCCTCAACCTGCTGAGCAGCTGGGATTACAGGCATGAGCCACCATGTCTGGCAAATTTTTTGTATTTTTGTAGAGACGGGGTTTCACCATGTTGGCCAGGATGGTCTCGAACTCCTGGCCTCAAGTGATCTGCCAGCCCCGGCCCCCCAAAGTGCTGGGATTACAGGTGTGAGCCACCCCGCCTGGCCAGATCTATTCTTTTAAATGACAATTATCAATGGAATTGTTTTCATAATATCCTATTAGGTTATTTTTGCTAGTTTATAAAAATAAAAGTGACTGAGTTTTGATTATGTATCCTATAACTTTCCTGAATTTATTAGCTTTTGTAGCTTTCTTATATAGGATCATGTCATCTGTGTATAAAGATGCTTTTCTCCCCTTCAACTCAGTTTCCTTTTTTTCTTTTCCTTGTCTAAATACTCTGGTTAGAAATTTCCAGTACAATGTTAAATAGCAGTGGTGAAAGCAGGCATCCTTGTCAAGCTCCCGATCTTAGGAGTAAAGCTTTTAGTCTTTCACCATTGTCACCACTGAGTATGATGTTAGCTGTGGGTTTTTTTGGTTTTTTTTTTTTAGATGGAGTCTTACTCTGTCGCCCAGTCTGGAGTGCAGTAATACGATCTCGGCTCACTGCAACCTCCGCCTCCTGGGTTCAAGCGATTCTCCTGCCTCAGCCTTCTGAGTAGCTGGGACTACCGGCGCTGTGTCATGACTGGCTATTTTTTTTTTTTTTTGTATTTTTAGTAGAGACGGGGTTTCACCGTGTTAGCCAGGATGGTCTTGATCTCCTGACCTGGTGATCTGCCCGCCTTGGCCTTCCAAAGTCCTGGGGTTACAGGCGTGAGCCACCGTGCCTAGCAACTGAGGGTTTTTAATAAATGCCCTTTATCATGTTAAGATAATTCCCATCTATTCATAGCTTTCTGATTGTTTTTATCATGAAAGAGTGTTAGATTTTGTCAAATCCATTGTCTGTGTCAATTTGGATGCCTATTTTCTAATATGTCATTTTGAAATGCAAATCTGTTGAGTTCATTCCACTACTAAGAAGGTTGTGTTTTTTGTGTTTTTTTTTTGTTGTTTGTTTTTTTAATATATATTACGCTCTGAACCAAGTAGCATACTTCTGTGGCCTAATTTTTTTTTTTTTTTTTTTTTTTTTTTTTTGAGACGGAGTCTCGCTCTGTTGCCCAGGCTGGAGTGCAGTGGCGCGATCTCAGCTCACTGCAAGCTCCGCCTCCTGGGTTCACGCCATTCTCTTGCCTCAGCCTCCTGAGTAGCTGGGACTACAGGCGTCTGCCACCACGCCCGGCTAATTTTTTGTATTTTTAGTAGAGACGGGGTTTCACCATGTTAGCCAGGATGGTCTCAATCTCCTGACCTCGTGATCCGCTGGCCTCGGCCTCCCAAAGTGCTGGGATTCAGAAAAACTCTTTTTTTTTTTTGGAGACAAGAGTTTCGCTTTTGTTGCCCAGGCTGGAGTACAATGGTGTGATCTCGGCTCACCGCAACCTCCGCCTCCCGGGTTCAAGTGATTCTCCTGTCTCAGCCTCCCGAGTAGCTGGGATTACAGGTGCGTGCCACCACGCCCGGCTAATTTTTGTATTTTTAGTAGAGATGGGGTTTCATCATATTGGTCAGGCTGGTCTCGAACTCCTGACCTCAAGTGATCTGCCTGCCTCGGCCTCCCAAAGTGCTGGGATTACAGGCGTGAGCCACTGCACCTGGCCAGAAAAACTCATTTCTACATTTCCCATAGGTTGTTTAAATTGTTATTATTAAAGGAAAGCTCATCTCAAAGCTTCCTCAACAACAAAGCCTTTTATCTTCCACCCCACCTCCCACGCATTCACTGCCCAAATATACCAAGTTTCTCTTTTCTTTTTTCTTTTTTTTTTTTTTTTTGAGATGGAGTTTTGGTCTTGTTGCCCAAGCTGGAGTGCAATGGCACAATCTCGGTTCACCACAACCTCCACCTCCCAGGTTCAAGTGATTCTCCTGCCTCAGCCTCTCGAGTAGCTAGGATTACAGGCATGCACCACCACGCCTGGCTAATTTTGTATTTTTAGTAGAGATGGGTTTTCTCCATGTTAGTCAGGCTGGTCTCGAACTCCTGACCTCAGGTGATCTGCCCGCCTTGGCTTCCCAAAGTGCTGAGGTTACAGGCGTGAGCCACCACGCCCGGCTCTCTTCTTTTTGTTTTTTGTTTTTGTTTTGAGATGGAGTCTCGCTCTGCCGCCCAGGCTGGAGTGCAGTGGCGTGATCTCAGCTCACTGTAACCTCTGCCTCCCGGGTTCAAGGGATTCTCCTGCCTCAGCCTCCTGAGTAGCTGCGATTACAGGTGCCACCACGCCCAGTTAATTTTTGTATTTTTAGTAGAGATGGGGTTTCATCATACTGGCCAGGCTGGTCTTAAACTCTTGACCTTGTGCTCTGCCTGCCTCAGCCTCCCAAAGTGCTGGGATTACAGATGTGAGCCACCATGCCTGGCCTCTCTCTTCTTTTATCTGTAGTAACTTTTTACATGCCTTATGGTATCTAACCATAAGGCAGTGTGTTAGAATATAATATTTTGTATTAATTTTATTTTAAAAATATTTTATATTGATAATGGTTACATATATATTCATATAGTTTCTATGTGTCTAAATTTGGGTTGTATATGTAAGATTTTTGCACTTTATATAGTTATACCTCCAGTTTTTTAAAAATATAAATCTTAAGTCGTGTGTGGTAGCACACCCTAGAGTCCCAGCTATGGGACTACTGAGGTGTGAGGATCACTTGAGGCCAGGAGTTAGTGGCTGCAGTGCACCATGGTTGTCTTATGCATAATCACTGCACTACAGCCTAGGTAACATAGTGAGACTCCCATCTCTAAAGACAGAAAGAAGTTAAATAAATAAATAAATCTTACCTTCCATGTTAGGCTAAGTCCAAGAGATAAGTCACTGTATTTTACCTAACTTTATCTTTTCTATTGAATTGTGTTCTGTATTGCACATGGTGGGCAATCCATATGTGTATGAATTAACCTAAATGTACTTGTGGATTAAGTTGTGTTAAGTTTATGAAGCAAAATATAATAGCCATAGTGGGAAGTCATTCTAACCATACCTTGAGGATGTTAACATTTGCTGCGAGGCATATTTTTGGTTTATATAAGTCATGGTTATTGACATAGCATCTATCTGAGTAGATATTAAGCAAGGTTAGATATTTTTTCTTCCTTTTTATGTACTCTAGGTACACAGATATATCTGAAAACAAAGGGATATATATTTGGCTGCTTCTAAGACAATTGAGTCTTGATTTATTATGTTTGTCTTTTTTTTTTTAAGATGGAGTCTCATTGTGTTGCCCAGGCCGGAGCACTATCTTGGCTCACTGCAACCTCCGCCTCCCGGGTTCAAGCGATTCTCCTGCCTCAGCCTCCTGAGTAGCTGGGATTACAGGCGCGTGCCACCACGCCCGGCTAATTTTTGTCTTTTGTTTTTGTTTTTTTGAGACGGAGTCTCCCTCTGTTGCCCAGGATGGAGTGCATTGGCGCGATCTTGGCTCCCTGCAACCCCCACCTCCCAGGTTCAAGCGATTCTCCTGCCCCAGCCTCCTGAGTAGCTGGGATTACAGGGGAGTGCTACCACGCCCGGCTAATTTTTGTATTTTTAGTAGAGACGGGGTTTCACCATGTTGTTCAGGCTGGTCTCGAACTCCTGACCTTGTGATCTGCCCACCTTGGTCTCCCAAAGTGCTGGGATTACAGGCGTGAGCCACCGCGCCCAGCCAATTTTTGTATTTTTGGTAGAGATGGGGTTTCGCCATGCTGGTCTCAAACTCCTGACCTCAGGTGGTCCACCCGCCTTGGCCTCCCAAGTGCTAGGATTACAGGCGTGAGACACCGCGCCCAGCCCCAGTCAATTTTTTATCAGGATTGTACTATAGGAATAGTAAGTCTTCTCACTAGAAAATATACCTTGGAGATTGGTCGAAATAAATATTATATTTTAATGTTCCTAAGTAAACATAGGGATCGTTTGTTTCATCAGGATTGTTCTATAGGAATAGTAAGTCTTCTCACTAGAAAATATACCTTGGAGATTGGTCAAAATAAATACTTTTAAAATGCTTAATTATTATTTATCTTTGATGTTGAACATAAAAAGCAGAATTGTTTTCTCCTTTGATGAAGAAACAGTTTCTAGGAATAAAGGAAACTTTAGAACCGATGTCCCTTTTTGTACATCACTTTTTGAGTATTTACTGAATGTAATGTTTGTGTCTTGTAGAATGGAGATGTATGCATTTCGATTCTTCATCCGCCTGTAGATGACCCACAGAGTGGAGAACTGCCTTCTGAAAGGTGGAATCCTACTCAGAATGTGAGGTAAGGAGGAATCTGGTTTTGGAGTTATTCTTAATCTCCTTATTGTCTTTGCTCCTAGTAAAATAAAATTATGTATTGTCTTTTAACATGTAAAAAATCATCTTTCTTATATTCAGTTTCTTTGTCTTTAGCTAGAGCTTTAAGAAATATGTATGCGTCATTTTGAAGAGCTGTATTTACTAAACAATAATGTATATGATTCTCATTTCCCTATGTTCACTTAGGAATAGATTTTCAAGCCTGAATCCCTACTCTTAACTTATCCTAGTTCTACTCTGGTTCTTTATTACCACCTAACATTAGTGTCATTCATTGGTTGCAGTTAATAAACAATGTTAATTCATTATAAGTAACTGAAGTCCATACGCTTTCACATTTCCTTTGTTTTTACCTGTCGTTGTTTTGCTCCAAAATATTTCATACATATAAATATATATCTATATATGTACGTGTATACATATATGTATTTAAATTTTTTGTAGAGATGGGGTCTCACTAAGTTGCCCAGCTGGTCTCAAACTCCTGGCCTCAAGCAGTCCTCCCCACTTGGCCTCCCAAAGCGCTGGGATTATAGGCATGAGCCACTGTGCCCTGCTCATCACATTATATTTAATAGTCATGTCTTCATGGGCAACTCCTCTCTCTCTCTGTCTCTGTCTCTCTCTCTCTCTCTGTTTCTGTCTGTGTCTCTGTCTCTTGTCTTTGAGACAGTGTCTTCCCGTCACCCAGACTGGTGTGCAGCGGTGTGATCACAGGTCACTGCAGCCTCGACCTCCTGGGCTCAAGTGAGCCTTTCACCTCAGCCTCCCAAGTAGCTGTGACTATAGGTGTATGCCACCATACCTAGCTATTAAGCAACTCTTGATTATAAATTTTCTTGTTTTTGATGACAATTTTGGGGGGTACTGATCAGGTATTTTGTGCAATGTCCCCCAGTTGAGATTTTTCTTATGTGTTTTCTCATGATTAGTCTAGGGTTATAGGTTTGGGAGAGAAAGACCAGAGAAGTAATGTGCCATTTTCATTATGTCATATCTGAAGTATTTACTATCAGTGTGGCTTATCCCTGTTGATGGGATACCTTTCATCACCTGCCTGAAATAATATTTTTAGCTTTTCTCCACTGTAAAGTTGCTCTTTCCTGAACTTTTCATTCTGTACTCCTTGGAAGGAATATGCATAGCCCACAACTAAGGAGAGGGTGGCTATACCTCCTTGAAGCCAGGGTATCTATATAAATTATTTTGAATTCTTCTGCATGGATTGATCTATTCTTCCCCTTTATTTGTTTATTCAATCATTTGTTAAACATTTTTACTGATACAAAAACTAATAACTTGATTAGAATCTCCAGGTTTATCAAAAGTGAAGAATTGGAAGCTTCCTGACTTGTAATAGAAGCTCTTCAAGATGTGTCAAATGACTGTTGATTATGTTTGTTACTCATTCCTTTGGGTACCTTGTTCCATCCAATTTATTTAGAAAGAGTTGAGAAAATAGATATATTAAAGATTTCAGCATATCTTACCAATATATTTTTTAAGACAAAAAATGTTACTTTCTTTCTAAATTCAAATAAATGTGTTTTTACACCTCACCTTGACAACCATCATCCCTCTGAATGTTTTTTTCTCATATTTCTTTTTTTTTTTTTTTTTTTAAGACAGGATCTTGCTCTGTCGCCCAGGCTGGAATGAAGCGGCGCGGTCACGGCTCAGCACAGCCTCAACCTCCCGGGCTTGAGCAATCCTTCCACTTTAGTCTCTTGGGTAGCTGGGACCACAGGCATGCATCACGGTGTCTGCTCAAGATTTTGTATTTTTTTTGTAGAGAGATGGGGTTTTGCTTTGTTTCCCAGGCCAGTCTCAAACTACTGGGCTCAAGCAATCCACTTGGCCTCCCAGAATGCTCAGATTATAGGTGTGCCCCAAAGCACCTGGACTAATTTTTAAGTTTTTTGTAAAGATGGGGTCTCACCATGTTGCCCAGGCTGGTCTGAAACCCATGGGCTCAAGTGATGCCCCTGCCTCAGCCTCCCAAAGTGTTGGGATTACAGGTGCTCACACTACACCCGCCTTCTGAATCTCTTATCTATACAAGAATAATACCTACCTCAGTAGGTTGTTGATAGAATTTAAGTGAATAATGCATGTAAACCTACTAGAATGGTGGATATTACCTGGCTGGCTTGGGTTGCAGCTATTATTTTCAAGGAATTTTTTGGGTCTAATGTGAAGCAGTCATTTGCTATCTATTAGAAGAGAAACACATTTCTTAGTTCCTCATATTTATTTCATTTTGCTACAGGGAGACATAATTGCTAGATGCCTGTATCGTAACCAGTTCAAGTAGTACATAATTTATCTTGGGTTCTAAATACATGAAAAGAACTAAAATAATTGTTTTGAGCTGTTTTTGAGATATTCTGTAATTGAGAATACGCTTTCTTTTTTTGAGGGGAAAAGTGTCCTACGTAGCAAATTATGTATACATGAATTATCTCGATAGACTCAATTTTAAATTAGTATTAAAAATTCTGAGTTGTAGGCCGGGCGCAGTGGCTCACGCCTGTAATCCCAGCACTTTGGGAGGCCAAGGTGGGCAGATCACCTGAGGTCGGGAGTTCAAGACTAGCCTGACCAACATGAAGAAACCCTGTCTCTACTAAAAATACAAAATTAGCTGGGCATGGTGGCACCTGCCTGTAATCCCAGCTACTCGGGAGGCTGAGGCAGGAGAATTGCTTGAACCTGGGAGGCGGAGGTTGCGGTGAGCCAGGATCGTGCCACTGCACTCCAGCCTGGGCAACAAGAGTGAAACGCTGTCTCAAAAAAAAAAAAAGTCTGAGTTTTATGTATTCTATATTACTCAAGAGTATGTTTGAGGGTGCTACGTCTTCAGAAGTAATTGTAGCACATTATTTTGACATTATAATTAGACAATGTGTATAAAAGTTTTTAAAAAATATTTTGGATGATTTGTTGAAAAAATTGCATCCAAAAAAATCCCCAGTTGTACTTTAATAATGATTCTGGTGCATGGATTTTCAGGACGAGTAATAACCCTAGATTAGAGGAAGTGGTAGCTATAATACTGGTGATTCTTGGTTTTGCTGGTTGAACGTTGAATCAAATGCTTACACCCTCTCCCTATTTGAGAAAATAAGCTTCCCCTTTCCTCAAATACAAAGCCCCAAACAAGATTTTCCTCATTGCATTTTTATGCTGCTTGGCTGGATAATGTATTGCCACCACCCATGGGAATTCAGGCTTTTTATCCTTTACTTCTCTTGCATTTACACGCAAATGATGTCATTTGCCTTATCTCAGCTTAAAGTATTATGAACATTTTTTCTTTTAAAATAGGCCTACTTCTCATGTAATCCAGTCTTTTGGAGGCAGAGGATTCCTTTTATACTTATCTGCCCATCTGAAACTGCCTTTGTTACTTTGGGTACTAGCATCATTTTGTTTCCTCACACTTGAGTCCCCAGGCCACCTGAGCCACAATTTAGGGACATTCCCCATACTCAAATCAAGATTGTTTTCCCTGCTTTTATGCTGCTTTGTTTAGAAGCTTCCCAACTACAACTAGTTATGTGGAGTTACACCTAACATCTTCACACAGCTCTACAAGGTATTTGGGTTGGAAATTGTTTACCTTCTTAGACTTTTTATCACTTAGTTCTATGTAATCATTGGGTAGTCCTTCAACATTTTGATCTTATTGGTGTTTTCGGGGGCTGTGGGATGTTTTGTACACTTTTTGGAACCTCACCTGTCTGGAATACCTGGTGGTGCTCAGAACTCTGAGCGGAAGTCAGGAAAGCACTACCTAATGAGCAGATGTGGAATACTTTCGCTTATCCCTTTTGTTTCTGTGTTCACTTGGTTGTGAGACAAGGGAGGTTTTAAAGTAGTAAACTGTTATATTTTCTAACAGGTCATTTATGGCACTGAAATATTAAGAGGGAAGATACAAGATGTAGTGGAAATGGGCAACTATTTTCCTTCTTGTACCTCTCTGCTGCTAAATTATCTAGGGCCAGCAACTGTCTAAGGGTTCTGGGCTCCATGTCCAGTTTATGGGTGGCTGTAGTAAGACAGCAGTGGAGATGGCATAGGGTTCATCTCATCCTGTTTTGGAGTCTTATCTGCTGCCTCTCACTGGCATCTGAAAGTGATTCCATATTCACGTATTTGGTTTTCTTCTCCATAACCACGTGTACTCAAGACTATTGTTCAGCACCTCAATGGACATATTTATAACATAAAGTGGCAAATGGAGCACTTTTGTAACTTGAAGAATAAGGGACTCCAGTTACCTTCAAGAGTCTAAGTCAGTCTGTATTATCAGATCTGGTGAGTAGTGAGAGTTAGCCAACCTGAAAAGGAAGAATTTTAGGGATGCAGAGAATCAGCCAACTGGTGTTCACTAAAGGCTCGGTAGCTTGCTACCTCTTGGGAAAACCAGCATACTTCTTTTGAAAGAAAACATCCACAGGCCTCCTCCTCCCAGAGGCCCAGGATTAAATTGGTGGGGCTGGAGGTGGTGGGGAGAGTTTCTTCCTGAATTGGAAAGTTTTAAGGAGTAGGCATTTGTCAGCAAGAATGGAGTTGGGAGTTGCCACACGTCTTTGATTAGAAGTTCACAGCATTATGCCTCTTCCTGATGGAGGAAACAAAATGTGCCTTAATACATGATTTGTCTAGAATGATGTGGGAGCTTTGGGGATAGGGTAGGGTGGGAGTGGGAGTAGCAAAGCCCTCAGACTTTGCTATAGAGTTCACAGCTGCTTTCTGTGAGACACCATCCCCAGAACTACTATCTGCTATAGGCTCTGGGATGGTGAAGTGGTCTTGGTGTGGATTTGCTTTATGTTGAAAGAGGCATACATAATGTTTTCTTTTTCAATTTCAAAAATAAAGCGTGAAACCAAATTTATTAACCCAATCAAGAGAGGCTGTTGTTTGGTATAAAAGAGTCTGTCTCAGAAGTGGGGTAGGATATTTTTCTGTCTAGTCTTAAGAACAGAGAGCCAGAGACATCACCCCTAGCATTGGGTGCCAAAGTAAGCACAGTCAGGGGAAACAGGCATAACCATGCTGTTCCTAAAGCTCTTTTAAACCCAATTCTGGAACAGTGTGGTTTTATTTATTTGCTTCCTTGGTTTTTGTGCATGGGGTCCCACTGCCCTCAACCTGCCAATTCCATTCTCTGCAGATGATACATAATTTGGGCATTTAAAAACTGTAGTTGTATTCCTACCTTGCATTCTCAGGGATACATCAGTCAGCAGCAGATCCAGCACTGCACAGAAGGAGGTGTTATATTTGTTGGTTGCTTTAGCAGCCTAAAGAGAAACTTTATAATAATGTAAACCCGTTAAGCTACTATATTTTACCATCAGTTGCCCTGTTTTCCCTATCATAACAGGCTTCTTTATTCTTTGTCATGATGTCCTCTTTAAATCCCTCCCCCACATTGAAACATGCAATGAGGACTGAGCTTTAACTAGTCATCTGTAGTTACTGGCCCATCCTTTGATAGAGTGGAAATGAGAGATTTTAAGGACCCAGGACAACTAGAAAGGTCAGGGTAGAACCCAGAGTCAGTAAGAGTGGTAGTAACAGTATGCAGGATTTAGGTTTGGCTCCAGAGACCTGGACTTCACACATCAACTGTCATCACATTACGCTGGGTCTATAAAACTCAATATCTAAATCAATCTGCGTGTGTGTTTGTGTGTGTGCACATGTGCATACATGCATGCTTGCCCATGATTATGGCGTGAAGTAAGTTCAGGTTTTGTTGTTGTTGTTGTCGTCGTCGTCGTTGTTGCTGTTGTTGTTGTTGTTGTTGTTGTTTTGAAATGGAGTTTTGCTCTTGTTGCCCAGCTGGAGTGCAATGGTGCGATCTCAGCTCACTGCAAACTCCGTCTCCTGGGTTCAAGCAATTCTCCTGCCTCAGCCTCCCAAGTACTTGGGATTACAGGCATGCACCACCATGCCCAGCTGATTTTGTATTTTTAGTAGAGACAGGATTTTTCCGTGTTAGTCGGGCTGATCTTGAACTCCCAACCTCAGGTGATCCGCCCACCTCGGCCTCCCAAAGTGCTGGGATTATACTTGTGAGCCACCACACCTGGCATAAGCTTAGATTTTTTGGTTTTTAGGAATAAGCCCTTTCTACTTCTCCCATGCTGTCTGGAGGGATGATATATACATGGGAGGTGGGACCAGGGGAAGGTGCCAGTCTGTAATCCTTCAAAATTATGAACTTTTCTTGCTTGGTTTCCAGGCAGACCCTCGAGCCAGGTCTTATTTGTGATGCTAGGGCTATCACAACCCTGTTAAAGTTATGCTTATGGTGACATAGTAGCTAACAGAGAAAGGGTTATCGACATGTTGAAAATGGGCAAATGGAGTATTACGCATTGGGTCATACAATCCTAATTTCCAATTTCCCTTAAATACTTCTTTAGGCCAGGCGCAGTGGCTCATGTCCTTAATCCTAGCAACTTGGGAGGCCAAGGCAGGTGGATTGCTTGAGCCCAGGAGTTCAAAACCAGCCTGGGCAACATGACGAGATTCCATCTCTACCAAAAAAATTAGCCAGGCATGGTAGTGTGCACCTGTAGTCCCAGCTACTCAGGAGGCTGAGGTGCAAAGATCACTTGAGCCCAAGTGGTCAAGGCTTCAGTGAGCTGTAATTCTGCCACTGCACTGGAGCCTGGGGGCCGGGTGAGACCCAAGTTTGCTTTGTCTTTTAAACACATATGAGCTCTGCAGAACTTCACAGCTTGATTTGCTGTTGGCTAGTCTGCAATATATATTATATATGATGTGTTGGTCTTCATTTTCTTTGAGGGTTTTTATTGTTTACAAACTTATTTTTTATTCAGAACAAGATAGCTAAATAACCTCTGACCAAAGATAACTGAAGCAGGCAAAAGGATCTGAAATATGAACCTCAAGACTGTAAAGTGAGGTGCTTTTGCCTGTCCTTTTTTTCTGTGTTTCCTTTCTCTTCTTAGCATTTTTCTCTTTTGGCCTAGATCCTCTATCCTGAAAAGACCTATCTTATTGCCTCGCTGTGGCATAAAGAGGGGCAGAAGGAGCACATTTATTTCTGGGAGTATCTCTAACTCCTTGAATGGTGGCAGTGGGAATTGTGTAATGAACCACAGAGACTAAGAACTCTCTGGCCCTCATTCTTATCCCAAATTCCCTCTAGGTCTGTTCTTTGTTGTAATAAATGTTAAACATGTATTCTGCTGGATTGAGATAGATCAGATCTGTTCCTCTAGACGTGGAGTAGAGAAGGGTGGTGCACCAGTGTGTTCTTGTGGAGGGGCGGGGAAAGCAAAGGGTACTACAGTTATTCTTTATAGGAACCGAGAGTCTGGGGATGATGGGCCCTCAGGGTCTATTTTGCTAGTCCAACCTCTTGTTTCTCCTGAGAAAATACAGTAAATGAATAAGGATTTTAAACACTTAAACTCATTTTTTAAACAAAAAAATGAGCTAGCAGTTGAAATAGTTTTTTGTTTTGTTTTGTTGTTGTTTTTTTTTAAGACAGAGTTTCGCTCTTGTTGCCCAGGCTGGAGTGCAATGGCACGATCTCGGCTCATTGCAACCTCCACCTCCCGGGTTCAAACGATTCTCCTGCCTCAGCCTTCCGAGTAGCTGGGATTATAGGTATGTGCCACTACACCTGGCTAATTTTTAGTAGAGACGGGGTTTCACCATGTTGCTTGGTCAGGCTGGTCTTGAACTCCCGACCTCAGGTGATCCGCCTGCCTCGGCCTCCCAAAGTACTGGGGTTACAGGTGTGAGCCACCGCACCCCGCCTGAAATAGTTCTTAAATTCAAATTCAATTTTGTGTATTCCAACAGTATTATCTCAGCAGTTTAGTTTTTTCCAGTTCACATCCATCCATCTGCCTGAGGAGACCAATGCTGTCAGCTTTCCTTATTCTCACAGGTGTCCATCTAATCAAGAATAGTTCCCACCAGGCTTCTGATTGGCCCAGGTTAGGTCACATGCATATCCTCAAATGCATCGCCATAACAACAGGGATGGAATCCTTTCAGCACTTGCTTGGTCTTATGTCTACTGCTGTAGGTAGGTAGGTTGTTTGTATAGGAGGTGTGGCACAATGGTAGGAGAAGGAGATTATTCCCCATACAAAAAAGAAAAAGAAAGATTCTGCTCTTCAGACAGAAAAAAGATCCTGCTCTTCAGACAGAAGAAAACTTACTGGGTTGACAGTTACCACTATATTAGTCTGCTGTATTACTCAGTGCCTCTTAAAACATCCTGGATTTTTAACTTAGGAGGACATGGAATTAGAATTTCTCATTTTGTTAGATATGGATGATTTACCATTTAAAAATTTGTTTCCCAATATACACATCATCTTAATACACAAGATGTAAGAAAACCAACTAGGTGAAAGTACTTGTGGGAATTTTTTCTTAATTCAAGTAATAGGATTCATCTAGATCTGTGTTGTCCAATGTGGTAGCCTCTAACTACATGAGGCTTTTTACATTTGAATTAAAATTAAATACTAGTCTGGCACAGTGGCATGCACCTGTAGTCCCAGCTACTTGGGAGGATGAGGCAGGATTATCACTTCAGCCCAGGAGTTTGAGGCTGTAGTGTGCTATGATCACGCCTATAAATAGCCTCTGTATTCCAGCCGGGGCAACATAGTGAGACCCTGTCTTTAAATAAATAAATAAATAAATATTAAAATTCACTTCCTCATTTGTGCAGGATACATTTCAAAGTGCTTAGTAGCTGCATGTGGCTAGTGGTTACTGTATTGCACAGCATAGGTTATACATTATCATCATCATCATCGTCGTCGTCATTGAAAGTTATTAGTACACAGTACTGATCTAGACAATTAAACCTATTTTTCTGGCTGGGCAAGGTGGCTCACGCCTGTAGTCCCACAATTTGGGAGGCTGAGGCAGGTGAATAACCTAAGGTCAGGAGTTTGAGACCACCCTGGCCAACATGGTGAAACCCATCTCTACTAAAGATACAAAAAAATTTGGCCAACTGTGGTGGCGCGCACCTGTAATCCTAGCTACTTGGGAGGCTGAGGCAGGGAAATCGCTTGAACCCGGGAGGCGGAGGTTGCAGTGAGCCAAGATCACACCATTGCACTCCAGCCTGGGCGACGAGTGAAACCCCATCTCAACAATCAATAAATAAAAATTTAAAAGCACTGTTTTTCCAGCTAGGAGCAGTGGCTCACACCTGAAATCCCAGTACTTAAGGAGTCCAAGGCAGGAATATTGCTTGAGCCCAGGAGTAGAGACGGGGTTTCACCATGTTAGCCAGGATGGTCTCGATCTCCTTACCTTGTGATCTGCCCACCTCGGCCTCCCAAAGTGCTGGCATTACAGGCGTGAGCCACCACGCCTGGGCTTCTTCGATTCTTTTTAATGTAATTACTGAAGAAATCCAGAAAGCTCTTGAGGGAGGAAGGCCAAGGAGTTATCCTTAACCTAATAGGAGCATGTGTGATCAATGGATTTTAATTAGATAGAAATGTTTTCTTTGAAAATGCCTTTGTCATAATCTTGTATAAAATCATGTAACAGAAATTCTTCGCCTTTTTAAGGAAAAGTTTTCATCAAATCAAACATCTAATTGCCTGGTTTCCTCCCTTTATTTTTGGCTTGGGGCCCAGAGCAAAAGGGTATTTTACAACAACACAATCTCTAACCTTTCATCAATGAGAAAAGATAGAGAAATTTCATTTTTCCTCCCATTTTCTCCTAATGCACATAATTTTTAGGGGGAAAAAGCCTAGGAGTAATTTGGAACAGTTTTGGAGCCTATTACGCTTTTATTTATTTATTTATTTTTGAGATGGAGTCTTGCTCTGTTGCCCATGCTGGAGTACAGTGGCGTGATCTCAGCTCACTGCAGCCTCCGCCTCCCGTGCCCAAGCAATTCTCTTGCCTGTCTCAGCCTCCCGAGTAGCTGGGATTACAGGCGCCTGCTACCACACCTGGCTAATTTTTGTATTTTTAGTAGAGACGGGGTTTCACCGTGTTGGCCAGGATGGTCTCAAACTCCTGACCTCATGATCTGCCTGCCTCAGCCTCCCAAAGTGCTGGGATTACAGGTGTGAGCCACTGCACCTGGCCCCTATTATGCTTTCTAACATAAACTTTATTCCCTGATTATTTGGAATGTCTAATTTTTATCTGTGGATGAAAATTGGCCGTTTGTAACACCCACTAGATTTGTAAGCCATGGGAGACCAGGGATGGCATCTAACTTGCTCACCATTGTACATCCAGCATCTCACTTGGTGCCTCTGGCACACAGTAGGTACATAGTAAATACTTTTGAATAAAGATTTCTATTATTCAGAGACTCTAGTTCTTCTGTTTGAAGGATTTTGCTTTTCCTCCATTCTCCTGCATTACTCTGTCTTCCTTCCAAGTATGGAAAAAATACATTTGGATGTAGCACTGTTTTTCAGGTTAAGAGGCCACAATAAAAACTGGTTATATAGGGCCAGGTGCGGTGGCTCATGCCTGTAATCCCAGCACTTTGGGAGGCCAAGGCGGGCAGTTCACTTAAGGCCAGGAGTTCATGACCAGCCTGGCCAACATGGCGAAACCCTGTCCCTACTAAAAATACAAAAATTAGCCAGGCGTGGTAGTACAATGCCTGTAATCCCAGCTACTCAGGAGGCTGAGACAGGAGAATTACTTGAACCCAGGAGGCAGAGGTTACAGTGAGCTGAGATGGCACCACTGCACTCCAGCCTGGGTGACAGAGCAAGACCCTGTCAAAAAACAAAACAAAACAAAAAAACGGCCGGGCGTAGTGGCTCATGCTTTTAATCGTAGCACTTTGGGAGGTTGAGGAGGGCGGATCACCTGAGGTCAGGAGTTCAAGACCAGTCTGACCAACATGGAGAAACCCCATCTCTACTAAAAATACAAAATTAGCAGGGCATGGTGGCAGGCGCCTGTAATCCCAGCTACTCGGGAGGCTGAGGCAGGCAGGAGAATCGCTTGAACCTGGGATGTGGAGGTTGCGATCACACCATTGCACTCCAGCCTGGGGAACAAGAGTGAAACTCCATCTCAAAAAAAAAAAAAAAAAAAAAAAAAAAAAAAAACCTGGTTATATAGAATAGCATCATTTTTACCAGCTCCCACATCAAGATTGCCTTGAAACTAAATATTTTAAGCTTTTTCCCCCATGCCATTTAATTTGTAATTTTTAAAATAAACAGTATTTGAAAGCTTCTAAGACATCTGCTTTCTGTAGGTTGGAACATGTGACCAGTTGAAACAGGGCCTTCTATCAAGTTCATTTTTATGCTTTGTGCATTACCCTTATACTAGAATCACTTGTGCATTACCCTTATACTAGAATCACAGATTTCCTCTGCTTTGCCTGCCAGTTAGCAGCTTGTTTCTTAGTGCTGAAAAAAATTTTTTTTTATTTTTCTTAAATGCCTTTTATGAAAACTATCAATAAAAAATTTATATCTCTATTCCCCCAAGGTCTTAAATTTAATTGTATCAGAAAAATTTTAAGGGAGGGAGAATTTGAAATCTGATTGTACTATCTTAAAAAGCAGAATACTTTTAAATACTGTAAATATGGGTATTCATAGCTGATCCTTTTTTCCTGTTTCTAGGACTATCCTATTAAGTGTAATCTCACTGCTTAATGAGCCCAACACCTTCTCCCCAGCCAATGTCGATGCTTCAGTTATGTTCAGGAAATGGAGAGACAGTAAAGGAAAAGACAAAGAATATGCTGAAATTATTAGGTAAGGTTTTTTTTTTTATTACCTCAAGTTATACAAAACCAAAATATATTCTGGAACCAAGGGTTTAAATCAAACTTAAATATCCTGTCCATTCCAGGATAATTTTCCTCTATTAGATTTATAGTGTGGGAAGAGAAGATTTCTGCCTGAGCCTAAAGAACTTTGCTGTTTACCGAGAGAACAGCCACTAGAAGATAAGGCAGTAGCAGACCTGATTTTCTAGGAACCAGAACTTCTAGGTTCTGGCCAGGCATGGTGGCTCATGCCTGTAATCCCAGCACTTTGGGAGGCTGAGGCAGGCGGATCACCTGAGGTCAGGAGTTCGAGACCGGCTGGCCAACATGGTGAAACCCTGTCTCTACTAAAAATACAAAAATTAGCCAGGTGTGGTGGTGCACACCTGTCATCCCAGCTACTCAGGAGGCTGAGGCAGGAGAATTGCTTGAACCCGGGAGTTGAATGTTGCAGTGAGCTGAGATCACACCACTGCACTCCAGCCTGGGCGACAGTGCGAGACTCCATCTCAAAAAAAAAAAAAAATTGAATAAATAAAGCCTTCCAGTTTATTGGCATTCCTGACCATAGCAGCAAGGATTGTTTGGAAATCCTCATTATCAGCAACACTAATGTATGGTATAACAGAGCCCTAGAATAAGATTCAGGGGACTTGGAATCTACTCATGGGACCATTTATCAGATAATTTTTGGGGTCTTTTACTTTCTCCTCTGTATAAAATGGAAAAAAGCTTAACCTTTAATCTCTTAGGACATCAGGTTCTTATAATAGTACCCAAGAAATTTGCAATAAATACAAACCCTACACTTCCCCTACCCTCCACCTCTTTTTTATTTGTTTCTAATTAATTTTTTTTTTCTTTTTGAGATGGAGTCTTACTCTGTCATCCAGGCCGGAGTGCAGTGGTGTGATCTCGGCTCACTGCAGCCTCTATCTCCTGGGTTCAAGCAATTCTCCTGCCTCAGCCTCCCGAGTAGCTGGGATTATAGGCGCCTACCACCATGCCCAGCTAATTTTTGGATTTTTAGTAGTGACAGGGTTTCACCATGTTGGCCAAGCTAGTCTCGAACTCCTGACCTCATGATCCACCCGCCTTGGCCTCCCAAAGTGCTGGAATTACAGGCGTGAGCCACTGCACTCAGCCTCCTCCACCTCTTTTTAAAGAAACAGACATGGTCTTACTCTGTTGCCTGGGCTGGAGTGCAATGGTGTGATTACATGGTAACTTCAAATTCCCGGGCTCAGGCAGTCCTCCCACCTGGGCCTCCTGAGTAACTAAGACTATAGGCATGCACCACCACACCCAGCTAATTTCTATTATTATTTTTGTAGAGATGAGGTCTTGCTGTGTTGCCCAGCCTGGTCTTGAACTCTTGGCCTCAAGTGATCCTCCTGCCTCAGCCTCCCAAAGCTCTGGGATTATAGGTGTGAGCCACCGTGCCTGGCCTCCACCCCCCTTGATATTACATTTTTATTTCTTAAAATAGAGACCCCAAATACAGTTACAGCTTCCTCTGTGCATAGGAGTTGACTAAGCATTGGCATTTATACAAATAAGAATAAAATCTAGTTGGCTTGAGACCATGTGATATGAAAAAAGTTAAAACAATGCTGGGAAAGGACATGAGGTGACTGCTGAGTAATATAAAATCAGCAGTTCTAAGTTTTCTGCCCATTGGGATCACTTTTAAACTGTCCCTAAACAATAGCTGTCTTTTATGGGATTACAAGGACAGAGTTTGGGCATCTGTGTGTGTATATATATCTCACCTAGGTGACTGATGTGTACCAAACATTGAAGATAATTAGTAGAAATATTAAGATCCTACAGAAATTTAGAGGAGTGGGAGTGTACTAAGGATTGAAAGATCAGAAAGCTTAGGTATACATATTCCCAAGGTACTTCTATATATTTCTTAATTTGTTTAAGGGTCCGTTTATCTCATTCTATCTATTCCTTAATGACCTAGTACAGTACCTGACACTAAGCAACAGCTTTGTGTTAGGTACTCATTAAGGCATAGCCTGTCTCCTTAGGGAGCTCACTTTATTAGCATTTGAAAACAAATGACCATGTAGTATTATACCTATAGAAGCCTAAACAAGATACACTGGGAGAAATATATAATGTAATAGATTTCCTAGCAGAGATAATTCCTTATAACCAATACTTTTTCAGGTGAAAAAAGGGAAAATACCCATGTTTGCTAAAATACAGGAGTATAACAGCATGACATGTTAAGGGGATTACAAATGCTTGAGTGTAAATTCTGATGTGGGAAATATTAGAAAATTAAGCAAGAGAGGCACCAGGGTCTTCAAAGACATTGAAGTCATGATAAGAGTATGGTTCTTAATGTAAGAAGTGATGGGGTACCACTTAAATATTTTTGGGAGGGAAGAGGTGATGCTATTTGAGTTCTGATAAAAGAATTGGCTGCCTGGTGTGGTAGCTCACACCTGTAATCCCAACATTTTGAGGCGGGTGGATCACCTGAGGTCAAGAGTTCGAGACCAACCTGGCCAACATGGTGAAATCCCATCTCTACCAAAAAATATAAAAGTTAGTTGGGCATAGTGGCACACACCTGTAATCCCAGCTACTCGGGAGGCTGAAGGCAAGAGAATTGCTTGAACCCGGGAGGCAGAGGTTGCAGTGAGCTGAGATCGCGCCACTGCACTCCAGCCTGGGAAACAAAGCAAGACACCGTCTCAAAAGAAAAAAAAAAAAAAGACAGTCAGCTGGGCACAGTGGCTCACGCCTGTAATCCCAGGACTTTGGGAGGCCGAGGCGGGCAGATTGCTTGAGCCCAGGAGTTTGAGACAAGCCTGGGCAACATGGCAAAATACCATCTCTACAAAAAAATTAGCCAGGAGAGGTGGCTTATACCTGTAATCCCAGCTACTTGGGAGTCTGAGGTGGGAGGATTGCTTGAGCTCTGGAGCCAGAGGTTGCAATGAGCTGAGATTGCGTCACTGTGCTCTAGCCTGGGTGACAGTGGGAGACCTTGTCTCAAAAAAAAAAAAAAAATCAAATAGTTGGCCAGGGGACCAACATGGACTAAACTGAGGTAGTAGTAATGGGGATGAGGGGACAGATATAAAAATATTTAAGCTGTAAAGCAATAGGTCTTTGGAGTGAGATTTATTATTTTAAGAAGCAATGCTCATTTATTCAGAGAAGTAAAATGGGAGAAACTGTCCATAGAGGTAGAAAATGCATATGCAGTCTACCTCTGCATATGGAACATTAGGACAGAGGCTTCCAAAAGGCATTTGTTTATATAAGCCAAGAGCTGTCAGCATAAAGGGAGTGGTGGTTAAAATTATGGGAACAGAGATGATGTCCCAGGGAGAGTGCTGAGAGTGTGGAGATTGAAGCCCAGAAGCCTCAGGACCATCAATATTCAAAGCAAGGCAACAGAAGAAAAGCTTCAAGCACAACTAAGAGATTGACATTAGGAAGATCAGGAAGAGTGGTCTAGTCTTGATGACTCAAATTTTTATAATTGTTGAAGGAAACAATTTATTGTTTGTTCATTCATACAATCAGTATTTATTGCACACCTCTTATGTGCCAGGCTATGTGCTAGGCACTGACTGGGGAAATGGGACTAAGAAAGACATTTACGCTCACATTCAAATATGTGGAGACAGAAGAGTGAGCAAGCAAAAAATACTAGATAGTGCTAAGTAGGATAATGTGAAAGAATGACTAGATGGCTGCTTTAAATTGGGTTGTCAGGCCAGGCCTTCTCTAAGGTGATATTTAAGCCTTAATATCTGAGGCCGTGATTCTGAGTGACAGGAAGGAGCCAGGCATGTGTGGGGCAGGGGAAGAGCAACTGGTCCAGACAGAAAAATCAACAAGGTGTGTCCGAGATGCCAAAAAAAGACCAGGGTGAATGTGTTGAAGGGCTGGAGAAAATACAAGAGTGGGTCATGTGGCCGGGTGCAGTGGCTCATGCCTGTAATCCCAACACTTTGGGAAGCCGAGGTGGGCAGATCATGAGGCCAGGAGTTCGAGACCAGCCTGGCCAACATGGTGAAACCCCATCTCTACTAAAAATACAAAATTTAGCCCGGTGGGGTGGCGGGAGCCTGTAATCTCAGCTACTTGGGAGGCTGAGGCAGGAGAATTGCTTGAACCTGGGAGATGGAGGTTGCAGTGGGCCGAGATCACGCCGCTGCACTCCAGCCTGGGTGACAGAGCAAGACTCCGTCTTGGGTGGGGAAGAGTGGGTCGTGCAAGACACTGGAATCTGGCATAGGCATTTGAATTTTACTGTCAGTGAAAATTAAGAGGATAATTAAATTAAGAATTGTTGGGGCACTTGAGTTTGGTGGTGAGGTGACTAGGCCAAAACCCTAGCCAATCCCCTAAGCACCCCACCCCACATTAAACCAGAGTGGGACGTTTTATTCACATATGCAACCTTTATGATCTAGCCCCAAGAAACTAGGAGGCGTATTAGCCCTTCTATTATCTATTCTTATTCTGGCAGTTATCCCTGTGCTTCACACATGCAAACAACAAAGCATGACATTCCGCCCACTAAGTCAATACCTGTTCTGATTCTTAAGTCGCCGACCTATTGGCCCTTACATGAATCGGAGGACAGCCAGTTGACGAGGTGATTCTGGCTATAATTGATCCACTGCTTTAAACTCCCTTGATATTAACAGTGTATTTCCCCTCCTAAAAAGTCAAAGTTTACTTCAAAATTGTACCCAGTGGGTTGAAAGCATTTGGTGTAGTACAGGGTATCTGTCAGATGCTTTCAGGCAGGTACTGAAGTTTGGAGAGCTGAGTCATAAGTAATATTGATTATTTAAGGCCAATTATAAATCTGTCTTAAAAAAAGACTTACCGTAAACCATTTCTGTGTCAACCTCCCTTCAGGAAACAAGTTTCAGCCACTAAGGCCGAAGCAGAAAAGGATGGAGTGAAGGTCCCCACAACCCTGGCGGAATACTGCATCAAAACTAAAGTGCCTTCCAATGACAACAGCTCAGATTTGCTTTACGACGACTTGTATGATGACGACATTGATGATGAAGATGAGGAGGAGGAAGATGCCGACTGTTATGATGATGATGATTCTGGGAATGAGGAGTCGTGACGTGCTCCTTCAGTGCCCCTGTACTGCCCTGCCATCTCAGGCCAAAGGGAGGGGAGCAAGTGGGGACCTGGCCATGGCCCCTCAGCAAAAACCTATTCACAGCGGGTGGGGAAACACACACAGCTCCTGCTGACTCCCCTTATGGATCTCAGTTTGCTCCTTTTTATGGACCTTTAATGGAGAGAGAGTAACCCTCCACAGAATGTCTGAATTCTTGCATTCTTTACCCTTCCATCACTATATTGATTCTTTTTTTAAAAAATATGAACCCAAACTCCCGCCTCACTTCGTCTCTACAGAATGTTCACAGCAAAACACGTTTGGTCTGTTTTTAGATTCTTGAAGAATTCAATAGTCTTTCAAGATGTTTAATGTGTTTAAAGCTGGGAACCTGTTGGGAGTTCACAAGTGCTGCATATACTGGGTAGCAAAAGAAAATGGAAAAAAACCCACAAAACAAACTTTAAAAAAAAAAAAAAACAAATTTGCCAAGGTTTAGCTGCTCATTTACATTAGTGTGTGTGCATTCGTTCAGCCCCATGGTGGTGAATTCTGTTTCTTTCCTTTCCTAAGGCTGGGACATGGTGGGCATCAGGGACTTTGTGCTAAGCCTGATGAAATGTGCTCCTTCAATCTCCATGAAACCATCGTAACATGGAGGCCTCAGCTGCTCTGAGGAGAGAAATCAGACTTTGTTTTTTGAAATCGATTGGGATCGAAAGCCTGAAATAAATATTCATACTTTCCATAGAACTGAGCACTTGGTTGCTATTTATTTTAAAGGCAGGGTTATTTCCCCCCAGGGAGTGGGGCAAGCGGGGAAGTTGGGATGAGTGCGTGTGGGAGCAAAGAGTTAAAAATCACTATGCTAAGTTTGGTTGATGCTACTGGGGGGAAAAAGTTGAAACTACTGGTGACCACTGTTGGGAGAGGAAACATCTGTTTTATAGATTTAGCATGGCCTTCCCATCAAAAATACACTCGTACCATGACGTTTTGTTTTTGTTTTTTAAGTAGCCACTTTTAATTACTCAGTATTAATCCTAGGTGCATGTGTTAAGATTTCGGTTTTCATCGAGCTGCTTATACTGATAGTGAAAAACTTGGATGTGTGTGAGACGAGTTACCGCCTTCTTCATTGGATGTGATCTGAACTTTTTTTCTCCTTTCAACATACTTAGGCTGTGGAGTGCAAGCAGAATTATGCATAGAAATTGTGGCAGGGCTGAGGGAGTTGACTGCAGGCAGTTTTTAGGCCAGATAAGGCTAGATCTTCCTGCAATGCACTTGCTGCAGCTTTGATTTTCCAGATCTCAATCGTGTTGCTTCAATCAATATTGAGATCCAGCAGCCTTCACCATCCAGGAGACTTCAGAACTTGAAGGTAATTTTTGGTTGTTATGGGGGTGCACCAGATCATAGGAGGGCATTATTTGGAGGAAACCGCTATAATGTAAAATCAGATTTCAGAAGGAAAATGCAGCAAGGACTGACTGTAGTCCTATTTCAGACCCCTGGGCACTAGTGTCAACTCCTCCTTTGGCTCGTAACTCAGAAAGAACCAAAGGGCAGATTAGGGACGGGGCAGGAGGGATCCTAGGATGGCCAGAGTAGGTGACGCTTACTTCCTTAGCTCCTCCTTCCATTCTGATCTCAGGGTTTTCACTCTTCAAACTCCCAAACACATGACTTCTTCCCAGCAGCCCTTCCCGGCCTCTAAAGTTTGGTCCCAGCAGCCCTTCCCAGCCTCTAAAGTTTGGTCTGGTATGAAATGGGACTGTTTAACAAGCAAGGCTCTTAGGGGACACTGTTGAGCCTGGTCCCAGAATCTGTGATCTCCACAGGGCCAGGGTTGCTACTTGCACCCAGAATCTAGTGATTTTAGTCAGATCCATGGAACAGAGCAGCTTCGTAATACATTGTCAAGTTACCTGATTACAAACTCTCATAGATGTTGGAACTACCTTTTTACTCCCCATACTTTGTAAGTAATGCTTCCAGATTAACCTGCAAATCTTGTGGAGCCAAAGCCTCTCACAGTGCTGATTTACCTCCCCCAAAATGCCCCCAAACCCCCATGCAAGTTTACAGCCAGTAGCTTGGTCTTATTCTCTTGGAGCCCTAAAATTAAGCCTTTCATTCCCCTTTGCTAAAGCATCTCACTCCCAGGGCAGCCCCAGCACCCTGGCATTGCGGGAGGTGCTCTGCTGCACAGCTGTTCCATCAGGCCCTATTGGCCTCTGTTAGACATTGACTCAGGGAGCCGGAGCGCCAAGTGGAGGTTGTACCTTTCAGCCCTTTGGGGTGTTAAAAGTGTCAAGGGCTGGGTTTGCCTCTGATGAGTACAATCAGTTCCAGAAGACTGGGTAAGTCTCTTGCTAGCAGGTGGACATTCTGGTATTTTAGACTGACTGAACGAAACCCAGAGGCTGGTTCCAGAGCTCTGTCCCTGAGAACACATCCCTGTGGAAAATACTTGAGTTTGTAATTTTTTTTCCCCCTTCTGGGAGTGGAGGTCTCAGGCTCAATCCGGAACCATGTACGTACAGTTTTGCTTATTATTTGATGTGACATGAACTCAAAATCCTGCATTTTTAGATTCCTTTTAGTTCTAATTGAGGCCTCACTAGATGCTCTTCAGTTCTGTGTATTTTGAGGCTGGGTGGAGAAGTATATGATTCTGCTGTTGATTCTTTCAGTCTTCCCCCCTTCTCCTTTTATCAATCATTCCAGAGTTATTTTCTATTAGTCAAACTTTTTTGTAGAACCTTCTTTCCCTTACCCTGGCAAATTGCTTCTTTACTTGCTGGTTTCCTTACGTTTGGGGCACATGTTGTAAGAAACTGATTGGAAGGGGAAATGTGCAGCTCTCCACTGGAAAGGAACTCTCCACCCCTCCCATCCTGATAAAACAAACAAGGTTTACATTTACAACTAAAAGGATTCAGATGCAATTTTCAACTATTCTGAAACCAGCAGGACACACCTGACTTTAATAGTTTTAGCTGAAATTGTAGATGTTTTGCTTCAGTTTAACTTATGAGAAAAGATTATCTGACGGATTTTGTGTTGACTTCCCCTTTAGTGGTTTATTTTGTCTTTTTCTGCCCATCTGTCTACTAATAAAATGTGAAATAAAATACCTGTATTGCTACTTCCCCATGAAATGACCCTCTTCTTTTTTTACCTTGTGTTAAAGAAAACTAAAAGGTGGTCTCATTATCACTGTTAAGTTTGCAGATTACGCTGGGGCTCAGCTGAAAAATTAGACAAAAACCAAAACTGGGGAATCTGCCTTTCTAACTAACTCACCTCCCTGGTGTATCCCCAGTCCCTTCAAGCTCCTTATAGACGTAGCCATTTGTTAAACTTGATTCTGAAAACGGGAGCTGATACAAGTAGGTCAGTGAAGGATTGAGGGGTGCTCTGCTGCTTTCCTTAGGCAAACATTTTCACTGTCATTTGTTTTCCTAACTTACTGCTGCTAATAGCAGGGATCAGGCAGATCACCCTATTTAATAAAAGTCCTAATTTTACCTGTAGACACTTACCTTTTTTCTAGGTAAGGTCCCAAGCTGTGGGTTAATAGGAGTATCGGTCCCATCTGATGACAGGACCATCGCTCTCAATTGTAGAGGCCAAAAGCAGAAAAAGTAGATTGTGACCCCAGGCTGGTTCTGACACAATCAATCAATCAATCACCTGACTAGCCATTTTATTTCCTCCTTTAACCTGATCTGAAGCAGCGATTTAGGAGTGAAAAGAGAGGCTGTAGCACCTTGGGCAACACTTCTAGGCCCTGAGCTTCCTGCCTGCTGGATTGGAGCACAGTTGTGGTTGGCCAACAGGAGATCTGCCTCCTTCCTATGGCCCTTGGTTACTCCCTGGCTTCTGACCTGACACAAGGTGAATGGTTGGTTGGGCTTTTCTGGAGCAGATATGTAGCCCCGGATCCACCAGCCTACCTCATGACACCCTCACTAGTCACGTGTTCTACCATAGCTTTTGACTGCCAATCAAGATTATGTTCAGTTGATGACAAGCAAAAGACAGGTATACCTGTTCATACTCTCCCTTAAGGCCTAGAACCCTGCTCTCAGTTCTTGGCTTTGCTTCAGATTGTAAAAGTCCACTGAGATTTGGAAAAGAAATTACCCTGCCCTGGTATCCAGTGGACAGGGCTCTGTGGGACACTGCCCTATCCCTAAGTCTCTTAAGGAGCTATAAGAAAAGCCAGGTTAACTTTGATCAACATGGCCTGGGCCCTGTAAGGAGGTTTAGCTGTCCTTACAGCCATTGTGATTTGGGCCAAGAGGGTCCAGTAAAAAGGAAAACCATTTCAAGCCTTTATAGCCTGTGTCAGAAGACTATGACCATGTGGGATCTCCTTTAGCCCTGTGAAGTCCAGGGCTTCTGCCCTGAGCTGCCCTTCAGTCACACCACACAGAGACCATGCATGCTCTCAGAACTTTATTAGGTGGGGATTGGGCAAGAGAAAACCCCTGAAACAGTTGCCCACGTGGTTCAAGACAACTAGAATGGAGATGTGTTGCTTGGAGATACCTTAGATTTTTAAAGGGGAGCTGACTGGCTGAATAACTCAGATTATTTTTTTTTTTTTCATGGTCAGCCAGTCTCTAGTAAGTCTCTAGGGACATGACCAGACCAGAAGCCCCTGTTCTATATGAAGACAAACAGGTGGCCATACTTGGGTGGAGGGATACCGCTGCTATTCCCAGATGAAGATTTGGTGGAAGGAGACCATGACAGATGACAAACGGAACAGTTTCTCAAAAACAGAGGTATGAAGTAATTACACAGGAAAGAAAACAATTTCCAAAGGAGTGAGACAAGTCGTGATTCTTCATTGGTACCTGACCCCTATACCCAAACAGCCTTGAACCAGCCCTTCCAGAGACTGCCCCTAGTGGCCCACTGGGCAGTGCAGGCTGTGAAGAAGACCTGAAGGCAGATGGGGTGGGGGTGCTTATTTTGCTACAGTGGAGAAGGGGCTTGAATGGGGAGGGCAGACCTGGCTAACATCTGCCGCCATCCCCCAACTCCCCCCCAGACTTCTATCACATTTACAAATACATACATAAATACATTACATACAGTAGCCAGTCTGGGAGGCAGACTCCCCACAGAGGCATGGCTGACACATGTCGGGAATTCTAGGAAAGGGCACTGGGCTCCCAAATACGTGCTCGTGTGTTCTCTCCTGCCCAGGATAAGCCTTGCCCCAGCCCACCCCTCTCTTCTGGGTTTAGTTTGTCCAGTATGGAGAGTTGCCGTAGGCAGGTTTGGAGGCTTGAGACTTGGGCTGCAGGGAGCTGGGCTGGCTGCGCTGACCCGAGCCACTCTGAGGAAGAGGAGAAGGGAAGGCTGTCAAGGCTGGAGCAGAACCCCTGGCCCAGAGTAGGGTGGCTGCCTCCATCACTGTACTCACCTGTGCATCCTGCGGAAGGTGGTGGTGCAGCAGCTGTGAGTGGGGCTGCTGGTGGGCTGGCAAGATGTGTAGGAATGGTGGGGGTGCATAGCCAGGGGCCGCTCCCGAGGCCAGGGGCCCAGTGGAGCCCAAGACCGAGGGCAGGCTGAAAGGTGGAGGCGTCCCTGCATGAAATCCCTGCTTGTCAAAAGTCTACAGGGCAAAGAAGACAATGGTGAAGGTCAGGTTGGGCTGTAACCTCTCAAAAACCTATACACCCAACCCACCTTTGTCCCTCACCTGTGTCTTATTGTAGACAGAACCAGTCATATCAGGTAGACCAGTGGTGCTTGAAGACACTGATACTCCTAGGAGGAAAAGCAGTTGTTCCCCACAGCAGTTGTTCCCAGCTCCAGGCTCCCCACCTCCAGGATCACTCAGGGGTTGCCCTGCCTGAGAGGGGATCAGGCAGGAGCCCACCACTCCAGGCCTTATCCTGGAAAGGAGAGGTAAACACTACCTTTGCCAGGCCCAGAACCTGCAGACTTGTTTGGTGCCTGCGATGATCCAGCATAGCCACCTTTGGAGTAGTCTCCTGCTGCTGTCCCCTGGGTCAGGTCGTCATAACCTAGCGTGGCAGGGTACAAGAGGCAAGTGTGAGCCAGGCAAGCCTGTCTAACCCCATGTGTCTCTGTCTGGGAAGTACCCCTCACCTGTACTGTAGCCGTGCTGGCCATAACCACTGGCCTGCTGGAAGGGAGGTGTGGGAGTGCTGAGGTTCACCCCATGTTGCTTGGCTGAGGCTGGAGGGACCTGGGGGGGCAAGCAGATGAGGTATTAGTGTAGGAAGAGGCAAGCTGAGGCTGGTCAGGTACCCCTGCCAGAGCCTAAGGCAGCAGGTGACATACCCACAACCACAGGGGACCTGTGTTTTCATTAGTGCAACACATGCTGGATCTAAACACAGCAGGGGAAAAGTGACCTTGTCCCCAGCCTGAACAGTTTCTGAAGACCAGGTAAGACGGAGTGGAATCACAACCCTCCCTCCCTGCTGGAAGATAGGTCCCAGGTTTCCACCTGCCAGCAACCCAAGGCCAGGAGACACAGTCACACCCTCTGAAATACTCACAAACATGGTGGGGCCATACTGGAAGGCACTGGGCATGCCTGTGTAGTAGGGAAGACCAGTGTAGCTATAGCCAGGTGGCAGTGCAGGATTCACGAAGGGCTGCTGGGCTGTGTGGTGGGTCTGTGATTGGCTCTGCTGTGGCTGAGCTGGTGTGGTAGCGGGTGCAGGGGATGCAGAGTCCCCACGGCCAAACTTTGTGACATCACCTAGGAAAGAGCACTGACTCCAGCCACTGCCCTTCCTCCAACCAGAGAAAGGCCACACTGGCTTCTGCAAACAGGAACAGGTCTGGCTGCCAGCTCAGCACAGGCTACTAAGAGGCCTCTCTCAGCTTGCTGTTGCTGCTTCCCAGCTCCTGGAGTTCGCGCTAGGCCGGCCCCGGGCTACTCCTCATCCATTGAGCAAACTCACCTGGATATGGATTATTAGCTAGGCTCCCATCTCGGCTGGCAAGCGCTGTGGGTGCAGCAAAGGGAATTCCATAGTAGTCCTAGGAGAGACCAGGGAGGCTTGATCAGCGACTGGCCCTGCTTGACTCCCAGGAGAGCAGAACCAGCACATGGAAGTGGTGACGCCACACTCCTGAAACAGACTCCATGCCTGAGAGCCAGCAGTCCCAGGGAACGCCAAGTAAATGGTGCCCCTCGGAAGAGTGTGCAACTAGGCGGCCTGCCTAACACATAAGCACACAGACCGGCCAACCCTGCAGCTTCACCAGGCAGAGCTGCTGGAGACCAAGCCTCACACATCCATTTGACACCACAGGCAGGTGCTTGTGTGAATGCCTCGGGCTGAACCAACTTCGCTGGCTTTTCTGTGTGAGAGACTAGAGCAGCTAGGAAAGCTGACTAAACAGAGCAGACCTGAAAAAGGAGGCAACAGAAGTGCAGGGGCCTGAAAGGTTTAAGGGGGGACAGGGGGCAGTGCCAGGTAGGCACGGGAATAAGCAGGACCCCAGGTGAAGCCCAGAACTGGCCTGTCACCACCTACACTGCTCTCAAAACACTGACATGGCCTAGGACAAGCTTGTCCAACCCACGGCCCATGACAGCTTTGAATGTGGCCCAACACAAATTCGTCTTTCTTAAAACATGAAATTTGTTTGCAATTTTTTTAAGCTCATCAGCTATCTTTAATGTTAGTGTATTTTATGTGTGGCCCAAGACAATTATTCTTTCAATGTGGCCCAAGGAAGCCAAAACATTGGACACCCCTGGCCCAGGACTTGGGGGAAGTATGGCAGATACAACAAAGTGTGGAGACAGAGACGGCAAAGCACAGTGGAGCTTCGTGGAGGAGGGGAGGTCTGACCTGACCCTCACTCACCATCCAGGGCCTCGCACTCCTGGACACACCTGGCCCCTGAGGAAAGGCAAAGCCCTTGGGCTGT
Source organism: Homo sapiens (assembly GCF_000001405.40). Lineage (NCBI taxonomy): Eukaryota > Metazoa > Chordata > Mammalia > Primates > Hominidae > Homo > Homo sapiens. Next base: position 33,925,185 of record NC_000009.12, read on the forward strand.
GCCCGATCCCAGAAAGGAGCCATCCTGGCTGGGAATGGCACTCACACCCTCCAGGAAACCTCCCGGAAACCCATAGCAGCCTAGAACCCCCGGAAGAGGCAGAGCTGGGAACACACAGAGCTGCACAACTGAGGACGGGAGCAGAGAAAGCCCAGAAGGGGGAGCACTTTCACAGAACACGAGAATTCTCCAGGCAGGAACTAGGCTCACAAGCAGCAGAGGTGAACAAACAACCCGAGGGATAGAAAGAGCAACATATCTCAAAAGGTGGGCTCCAGAGGGTGTTTTCTCTAAGGCACAAAGTGATAAAAGCCAAAAGAGTGCTGTGAATAAGTGTGGAGACCACGGAGAGCCCCTGAAGCAGAATGAATCCCGGGGCTCAGCACCACCTCCTGCAGTTTGGGCCTTTGGCCGGCAGATTAAAGGGCTGCTGGTTTGCACAGTGGGGAGAAGCCGCTCCGCTCCCAGGCTAGGCCTCTGCTTCTGGAAATACGGCCAGCCAGTGGAAAGGGCTACTCTTCTGAAACAAGAGCAGCTCCGTCAGCTCTTTGTGGTGCAGCAGAGAAGGGAGCAACACCCACGGGGAAGAAGGCATCACTGCACAAGGGAGAAAGCCTCTTCCTCCAGCAACAGGAAAGACTGTATCCAGCAGAGGTGGTGTCCAAACTGCCTGCAACTCTCTGACAAGTGCCCTGGGAAATGGCAGAGCAAGAAGACAGTGGCTCCCAGGAGGAAGTCCTGCCCATGGGCAGGGCAAGGAGCGGGCCTATTCCCCTCTGTCCCCACAGTTCTGTTCATGTGGCTATCCCAGGAAAGGCCCACACTGCATTCTGGCACCAACGGTCAGAAGAAAGAGGCAACCCTGGTCTCAGAGTAAGGCTGCAACCACCAGGGACGTCCCAGGGCAGGCATTCTCACAAATCTAGATGGGAGGCCAGACCCAGAAGAGACCTTAAAGACCATCAGCTCAAGCCACTCACTCAGCTGATTGCAGAAGAGCAGTCACTGGCCATCTCAGACCAAAGACACTATATGGTACTCTGAGGAAGAGGAAGACAGTATAAAACTCCAGGGCCACGTAAGCAACCTCCATGTCTTGTGTCATATGGTTTTTCTTTTTAAAAAAGAGAGAGAAAACAAGATGGAGGAGGGAAGATAAGGACCAACATTTAACAGGGGACATGGCCTACCAGGGCCCCAGGTCCCAAAGGCCTTCATGTTTCCCAGGGATGAGCACTGGATACTCTGTGCTAAAGCTATGGTCACGCCTGGCACAACCGCCAGATGAAAACAGCTTTCTCAGTAGTGGTGCTGAGAGGTTCCTCAGGCAGAGGATCCTAAGGGCCAGAGAGTGTGGCAGCCAAGACCATAAGAGGGGGGACATGTAAAAGATTCTGAACCCTCTGCTCCGACCAGTCCATACCCCACTCACCACTGGCAGCCGTGACTGCAGCATCTGGAGCTCGTCATAGCCATAGATCTGTGTGAGAACCAGAAAGTGTATTTTAGGAACCACATACCACACCCTGGGAAGCCCAGGTCCATCTAGGAGTCAAAACAAGGTTGGGGGGCTCTAACACACCCGGGAATGGGATCTGGATTAGCTGTTACGGGAACAGATCCTGCCTTCACGGAGTCTAGATGGAAGAAGACCACCAGGGCTCAGTGGGGCAGAGACGGGGGTGCTCAGGGATGGAAGGGCAGCTCAAGGTGGGCAACCTGGGCCCAACGCCAGGTTCCTGCCAGGTGCCAGCCCCCGAGGCCAGGGGAGCTGGGCAGGCCAGGAGTTCCGCCATACACTCACCGGGTAGGCAGGAAGCAGTCCTCCGGGACCTACGAGGTACTGGTTGTGCAGCAGGGGAGGCACCCCCTGAGGTAAGTTTGGGGGTGCTTTGCCTGTATAGAGGGAAAAATCAAATGGAGTGAAATGGTCACCACAAAGAGTGAGAGTCCTCAGCTGCTTCAGGAGGAGGCACAGTCACTGAGCTACCCCAGATGGGTTCAAAGAAGGGCAGTGGCCGAATGAGGCAGAGGGTCATTCTACAAAGCAGTGAAGGGGAGACAGAAAGCCCGGCCACCACACTGAGGTTGTTTCAACGTCAGAGAGTTCCGGGCCCAGACAAAAGCAGCCCCTTTCCCCCAGTCCCTAAGGTCCCACTGCACTGAGCAAAGAGAAATATAAAAAGAATCTGCCTCCTCCAAAGAGGGCAAGGAAGCCATGCAGTGCCAGGAGAGGGACAGGCTGAGTTCGAAGTCGGTTTTAGCAGCGACCATCAAATCATAGTCTGCTGGGCCTACAGACAGCCTAGGTCTGCAGTCGTGGAGCCCACCATAAGTCATCCCTGGCCCCTCCAAGTCACAATGTCAACTCGGCTCCAGGAAAGAACAAAGAGGAAAGACTGAAAAGCTAGAAGCACGCAGAGGCCAGGAATCCTGCAAGGAAGAATTCATCCCCATCAGGGGTGGGGAGATTGGGCCTCAAGGTCAGTGGAACACGCAGCGCACTCGGCGGGCCTGAGACTCTCCTGACACCTGCACTGCCTTCCTGGGACGCCAAGCAGGCACCTTTGAGGGGCTCAGGGGTGGGCAGGAAAGGCCTCTGGAGCAAATACCTGAGGTCACCAAGGGCGCGGCCCTGCTACTGCTGCTGGATGCACTCGCGGGGGTCCCACCCAGACAGAGGCTGTTCGCGGTGTTCATGCTACTGGACAGGCTGGCGCCTGAGGATGCGGAACTTGAGACGGAGGTCGCTGCCGTGGAGAAGGTGGCTGAGGACTGGTGGGAAGAGGCGCTCTCCACACTGGCATGCTGGCAAAAGAAAAGCCAGGACACATGGATCTGGAGGCAGAGGAGGAGGGTGCTGGGGAGAGCCTGGCCTGGCGCTTGGGCCCAAGTCTCAAGGCTGAGCAGGCAGGCAATGATGTAACCACCCAGGCTCCCTTAAGGTGAGAGGCTCTGTGCTCAGTGCTCACTGCGGCCCCTCACATAGCAGCTGGTTCCAGCCATCAGGATACAATACATAAACTGAACATCAAAACTATTAACATTAAGCTTTAATGACCACAACTCTCTGTAAAAATCCTTCAAGTTGCTCATGCTTGGCATCCAAAATGAGGGCATAGAAATCCCAAGATAACTTCGGATCATAAATGAACACAGACTATCTGAATATGGGACAAGTACCTACCTCAGAGCAAAGCAAACAGTCTGAGAAGAGGCGAGCACAGGCCACAGGAAGCCCAGCGTAAGTCTCAATCTTTTGGAGATTTCCCTTCTATTGGGATTCTCAGCCACTGTGGTCTGGAAACAGGAGGCTGAGAGAGGCCTTTGCTCCAAAACCTGGTGACACCTTTCAGTCCACCAATGCCTCACCAGTGCCCACCTAAAAGGGCATGGCCTGCCACTTATGCCTGTTTGACAAGGTACCCCTGTGAAGAAAGAGTGAACCAGCGGATGCTCCATCAGCCCCGAGTCCCAGAAGCCCTGCCTAGCTGCCCAACCCTAGCAACAGGGTCCTATGAAGAACTTCAAGCTCCGAGCAGGTAGGTGGGGGGCACACCTAGGTGGACAAGGCAAGTCTCAAAAAAGGGAAGAAAAGCTCTGTAAGAGGGAGACCAGTCTCCAAACCAGGACATAGAAAGCAGCATATAAACTCGTAGAAGAAAAGCCAAAGAACGGGAAGGGCCCAGGAGAAGGACCCAACCTGCCTGCGCAGACTAACTCTCCGCCGCCATCCCATGCCCACAGGTCACTACCCGCCTGGGCACTGGCTTTACAGAGCTAACATCCAGAACAGATTCACCAAGGTAAAGACAGCCAAAAACATGGTTTCCTGGGGCTCCAAGGCGTCTTGTTCCTTCAGCACAGATGGGCAGGACCAGGCCGGAGAGAGCCCCACCAGGAGCGGGCCAAAGGATGCACTGGCCTGCCCACCAACTAGGTTCTCACTAAGGAGGCAGACTCCCCACCAACTGCCACAGAAATCTGGAGCAGCTCTGACCAGTGCTCGCAAGTGTACTTGGATATATACAACCTTTTAATCTCGGAAGGAAAAATGAACATTCTCCATCGCTAAGAGATGCTCACTAGGGAACTAGGTCCTGACTTGCTGAAAGGGACTCAAGAGTCATCTGGCAAGTCTCTTCTCCCTTAGCTGCCTGACAGGGTTCCTGTCTCTGGCCCTCATCTTCCAGAACTGGGAGTACATCAACCTGCTGAATTAAAAAGTCAACACTAATTTTCAAGGCTTCGCTCAGTCCATCCAATGGGCCCTATGCAGTCAACTCCCCAGGACAGGCCCAGAGAAGTAAAGGCAGGAGAAGATGCTAAGATTTCCTTTATGTATTGATGGAGAGTGGTAAAGATATAACTACAAGAAAATGGAAGAAAATACACAGATCTATGTAAAAAAAAATCATAAACAGCAAACTTAGGGAAAAATACCTGTACTTCCCATCACCAAGGGCTCCCTAATATAGAAATAGAGACCAAAGACCTGACAAAAAAAGGAACCAAGAATATAAATAGCTCACATAGGCCGGGCACGGTGGCTCACGCCTGTAATCCCAGCACTTTGGGAGGCCGAGGCAGGTGGATCACCTGAGATCAGGAGTTTGAGACCAGCCTGGTCAACACAGTGAAACCCTGCCTCTATTAAAATAATAAAAATATTAGCTGGGCCTGGTGGCGTGTGCCTGTAATCCCAGCTACTAGGGAGGCTGAGGCAGGAGAACTGCTTGAACCTGGGAGGTGGAGGTTGCACTAAGCTGAGATCATGCCATTGCACTCCAGCCTAGGCCACAAGAGTAAAACTCCGTCTCAGAAAAATAATAAGAAATAAATAAATAAAATAAAAATTAAAAACTCACATAAAGGAAATCAAATGGTTTTCAAATATATAAAAAAAAGGATGTACAACCTCATTAAAAACTAGACTGATGGGCCATTTTTCTGCTAACATATTAAGGAAATACAAATGTTTAATAACACCATTTTGAGGATGCCATGGTGTAATAGGATATTTCATTCACCGCCAGTGGGAGGTAAACAGGGTTGAATCACTATGCGGGGCAATCTGCAAATGTGTATAAAATCATAAATGCCTTGCTGTTCCACATCACGTACTGACCCGCTACATACAGCTATACACATGAAACAACATATGTAGGTTATCAAATGCAACATTCTCTGTGGTATCAAGACTGAAAACGACCCTAAATGGACGGCTGCTTAAATAACCTTAAATAACATCATAAAGCAGAACTGTGGGGAAACAACAACAACAACAACAAAAAACCCTTAAGTTTCAACATGGAAACATCAAGATACACTTGTGGGGATACACAAGTGGGGAAAAAAAAGTTGAAGGACACTGTACATAAAATACTCTCATTTATGTAACAAGAGAAAAAGAATAAAAAGGGCAGATGATGGCCGGGCGCGGTGGTTCACGCCTGTAATCCCACCACTTTGGGAGGCCGAGGCGGGTGGATTACGAGGTCAGGAGTTTGAGACCAGTCTGACCAACATAGTGAAATCCCGTCTCTACTAAAAATACAAAAATTATCCGGGCATGGTGGTATGCGCCTGTAACCCCAGCTACTCAGGAGACTGAGGCAGGAGGATCGCTTGAACCCGGGAAGTGGAGGTTGCAGTGAGCTGAGATTGCGCCATTGCACTCCAGCCTAGGCGACAGAGTGAGACTGCATCTCAAAAAAAAAAAAAAAAAAAAAAAGCGGATGATAATGGGGAAATGACTACATGTATGCACTGCGTGTTTTGACTTTTATTTATTAAAAGGATGGAGAAAATGTAAGGGTAGAGCCAAGTAGATGAGAGACAGAAAAACTTTTCATTGTCTATCTTTCCATAACTTTTCAGATGAAATATTATGAACAAACAGTTGACCCCTGAACAACACAGGCTTGAAATGCATGGGTCCACTTACAGGCAGATTTCTTTTTCAACCCAATGCACGCATACATAATTTGAAAACACCCATATTTGGAAGGCTGACTTTTCCTATAGGTGGGTTCCACAGGGGCAACTGTGGGACTTGAGAATGTGCAGATTTTGGTGTATGCAGTGGTCCTGGAATGAATCCCCTGCATATATGGAGGGACAACTGTATTAGCAATGTCACAGTTCTGTCATGCTGACAAAGTATGGGACCCACTGGATGAGACGATTCTGGCTGTGGCAGGCTGGAATACATGGTCTGGAGGTTTTTTTTTGAGGAGATGGAGAGTGCAGCTCCCCATGAGTGCAGGAGCACTGGGCTCCCAGGCAGCAGTGGCACGGACACAGAGGACAGCTCCACGGCACTCCTGCTGAGGTCAGCTCACCACTCCCATGAGCCACAGAGGGCAGGGGCAGAGGGACAGGCAGAGGTGTCCACACTATGCTCTCCTTTGAAAGTGGCAGTTTGTGTGTTTTATGATAAAAGATTCTGTGTAAGGTTTGACTTGGAACACTAGAGTATGAAAGCCACAGCATTAGCCAGATCCAGAGGAAAGGACAGGATGTCCCTTTTCCACCACCTCACTCTGCTGGTGAGCTGCTGTCTTCTTCAGAGGACACCAAGTTCATCAGTTTCCTGCCTCCTCCATTCGTCTGCACCCTAATCCTTCCTCCCAGCCTGTGGACCTGCCTACTCCAACCTCGCCCAACACCTCCTGTTGTCCAGGAGCATGCACTTTTTGTTAATCCAGGCACCTTTCTATCCTCCCAATAGAGGCTCCAGCCTCTCTTAAGTTTTCATTGCATGCCCTCTACAATCCTCCTCCCTCCTCTCCATCTCACTACCATTCACTCCGCAACCCACCACAATCTGGCTGACTCCTACCACTGAAAGCCATGCTCACGGCTCCACGACCCACTGAGCCACACCTCAATAACCATAATCTAGGGCTACTCTTTGGCATATGAGGAAAATTAAAGCTGGCGCGCCGACTCCAGCCCTCCTGCCTGGCTTCTCGGCAGTGCATGTTTGCTTCCACTCCTGCCCTCCACCATCTAGACTCCCTTCTCCAACATTGACCTTCTTGCAATCTCTGCGTCTGAGTCAGGAAAGAAGGCACGAGGAAAGATCAAACAGCAAATTCCTGGGAGCAAGGTCACCACCTGACACTCCTGCCAATGACAGATAAGGTCTGGAGCAATGATTCTTCCCAGGCGCTACAAACTTAGAAAGCAAGATGTCCCCAGATGGTGCCCAGGAAATCAGAAGCTCGAACCAGATCATGCCATCAAGACATTTCAGCCAAGCAACTCTAGATTATCAGACACTAAAAATCAGACTGAAGCCCCAGCTGCATGTGACTAAGCTCCAGGCTCCCCAAGCATGGCGGAGGAAGAGGAAGCCGCGCAGACACTTACTGTGTGTGACGTGCTCGAGGAGAGGGCTGCATGTGCAGAGAGGCTGCTCTGGTGGCTGGAGAGCGAACTAGAAGACAAAACAGAGCGCCGTATGTCCACCTGAACAAGTGACTCCAGATGAACAAGACGCACGTGGGTCAGTGAGCTAGATTCAAACTTATCATAGTCCCTAGCACAGGACCGGCTTCAGACCCATCCTCATTCCTTATCCCCACAGAGCCCAGTGATGGGGTCCTGGTGGACGGGAATGACTCGCCATGAGGTCTGGAAAACTCCAGAGCCAGCTTCCCTCAACGACATCCATTTGCTCCTCAGATGCGAAAAGTGAAGACAGAGTTGCACTAAGAACACGGTCATCCTTGACAATCCCATTCAATCTGTGAACGAGGGATCAAAGTTCCTATGCTCAACTCCACATGCCAATTCCCATCAAATCCACTTTTGCTCCTAGCTAAAGAGTGATGGAGAACACTCCTCAGAAGACACAGGTAGCAACGCCACCCATTTTCCTACACCTTGTTCTAATAACATCGTTTCTTCAGCCATGGAAAGTTCAAGTCAGACACCTGCTCAGAAATCCATCATTCTCATTCCACCTCAGTGACATGGGCCCAGCGATGCCCAGAGAGGCTAGGCTCAGGCACCCTCTGGAGGGTGAAGACAGGTAGGAGGGAGCTGCTGGCCTCACCCTACTCCCAGGGGACCCAGTGCTCTGTGCCAGCAGAGGCGGTACAAGCAGGCAAGGTTTCCATATCTGGTGGTTTTAAGGAACAACCTGGCCAAAACCTAAGCTACAGTCGTAATGCAAAAGCCCAGGACATCACGTCAGAGACAACAAGTGTGCTCTGTTCATGAAAGCAACCTTCTACAGGAGCTCCAGGACTTGCCCCAAGGTACTTCTCACTTTGGGCCCACACCTTCCCCATACCTGCTAAGCTGAGAGAGAGGGCTGCTAGTCAGGTCGCCAGTGTGCTGGGATGTGGACGGCAGAAGTGCAGTGCAGGAGGTGGTGCTGGGCAGGGAGCTCACAGACGGGAGGGCAGAGGGAGGGCCTGTTGTCTTTGGAGCTGGAACAGATGAAGTAGCTGTAAGAAGCAGATCTGTTTATTTCTAAAACCAATCCTAAGTGCCTGAAAATATGCTCAATATCTTGTGACATGTCAGCCTCAGTTGAGACGTCCATAAAGTTACATTCCCCAGGAAAATGCCAAGCATATCGCCAGATAGCCCTTTGTCTGTCAAACAACACTATCAAAGGACACCACACCATGGTCAGCTGTTCAAGATGCAGCAAAGAATAGGAAATGACACCTTTATAACCCAACCTATCCTATATGGGGACATACTTTTCACACCTAAAGGAACCTAAGCTGTAGATGCATCCAGAAAGAAAAACAGGTGCTGAGCCTAATATGTAGAATTATAACGTGAGGCAAACTCCTCAAAGGGCACAGCAAGGGGGAGTAAGAAGCTAACAGGCAAGACCACCTACACGTGCTTCCGCCAAGTCAGGCTGACTCTACCAATGCTCACGGCCAACGTAAGGCAGATTGGGGTTGATGCCTATGTTGTGGAGAGACACAGACACCTAACATCTGCAGTCCAACTGTCCAACACCTACTTCCAAATGCACAGTGAGCATTTCCTTGGTATGTGCTTGAATAGATGTATCTCAGAGCACATAAATGAGCTTCGTAGGCTTCAGAAAGGATGTGGAGACACTCAGTCCTAGCTGTGGAAAGACTCAGTCTCAGTGCTGTCCACACATACAACTCAGATATGTGCTTGGAAATAAAACATCATTGTCTTTTCCAGTTAGGAAAGAGGAGCAACCTTGACCCTTCTAAAACCCAGGGAAAGCACTTGAGTCTCTAAAGGAAGGGCAGGTCAAAAACAAACATAAGCAATGAAAGGGTCAACTTACACCTAGGTCAGTTCTTACAGAGGCCTTCTTTTTATTGGCAGTCTCTTCCATATATAAACCTTGTTCATAGATAAACTGTATAAAGACACCACAGATACACCTCACCTAAAACTAAGACCCCAAAACATACCGCCCTGGGCCTTGTATTATGATGCTAACAGCTTCACAGGAAGCCTCTCTCAAACAAACAAACAAAATGGGGAGGGAAGGGGAGGAGGAAGTGAGGGAGAAGAGAGTATGGGAAATGAAAAGTAGGTTAATGTACACTGCTTCCCAGATACTTTAGTTCTCGACCCATGCCTAGACAAAAGAAACCTGCCACTACCACTGCTAGAGTCAAAAGTTCCTCTGTCATCCAACAAGCTCAGAACGACCAACGAATCTCCAAACAGCCTTGGCAGCCCAACAATACCAGCAAATGTCAAACCAAAATCCTGGGGCTCCAAATCTGTCATTACAGTTTCAACTGAGGCTCACCTCGGTCTGCTTAAGTTCAATATCCGCACTCCCAGGAAATCCTATTTAAAGAGTCTTTCTGGCTTCCCCACCCATTTGCCTTCCTGAATAAAGAAAGAAAACTACTATAAACCATCAGTCAAGCTGGCCAACTACAGAAAAGAAGCAATTAACGGATTTACCTGCACTATCTTTGGTAATCACTGAGCTGTTGGAAGTGGCGGGGGGGGGGGGTCTCATTTTCTCCCAAATGTCCACAGTGAACATTTATCTCTCTTTCTAAGCAACAGTCCTTCAGGTCCTAAAGACAATGAGCCTATCTTTCCTGAACAAGAATAGTAAATTTTTGATTTAGAAGTAGTTTCTTTCTTTTTTTTTTTTCTTTTCAGACGGAGTCTCACTTTGTAGCCCAAGCTGGCTCAAGCGATTCTTGTGCCTCAGCCTCCCAAGTAGCTGGGATTACAGGCACGCGCCGCCACCACACCCGGCTAGTTTTTCGTATTTTAGTAGAGACAGAGTTTCACCATGTTGCCCAGGGTGGTCTCAAACTCCTGAGCTTGGGCAATCTGCCTGCCTTGGCCCCCCAAAGCACTGGGATTATGGGCATCAGCCACCCCGCCTGGCCCAAGCATCTTTAAAATGCATACTGTATGCTGCACTTGTGGTGCAGTCTGATTAGGGCAGAAGAATATGAGACCACCACCTCCTTCTTGCTGTGGTTAAGACATTTCTAATAACACCACAGCCAACACCTGGTCCAAAAACAAAAAAGCAAAAGGGCTGCTTTTTAACGAATAAGCCATTGACCAACTGGTGTTTTCCACATCACGTGAGCTATCCTCTTCCTCTGTTTGGTTGGCACCAGCCATGACAAGAGTAGCTTGCTGCTATACTTACTGTCTAGTGTCTGCTGACTTCGACCACCACCATGTCCATTCTATAAGGAAAAGAAGAGAAGAGAATATAAACTTACAAAATGAAATCATTACCTGAGTGGCTTTTTATACTTTCTACAACATGTAGCTTAATCAAGAAACAATTATCTCTTTTATTCTATTTTTTAATAAAGGGAAGATAAACAACAAACTCTCATGCAAGAACAAAAATGTTCAAAAAAATTTTTTTTCACATCCCCAGGTTCAGGTGATCCTCCCCCTTAGCCTGCCTAGGAGCTGGGACTACAGGTGCATCCTACCATGCCTAGCTAATTCTTGTATTTTCTGTAGAGATGGGGTTTTGCCATGTTGACCAGGCTGGTCTCCAACTCCTGGGCTCAAGCAATCCTCCTGCCTTGGCCTCCAAAAGCACAGGATTACAGGCATGAGCTACCACACCCAGACCCAAATAATTTTTTTTTAAAGGTAACTTTTTGAGATGGTGTCTTGCGCTGTCACCCAGGCTGGAGTGCAATGGCGCATCTTAGATCACTGCAAACTCCATCTCCCAGGTTCAAGTGATTCTCCTACCTCAGCCTCCCAAGTAGCTGGGATTACAGGCGCGCACCACTACACCAGGCTAATGTTTGTATTTTTAGTAGAGATGGGGTTTCACCATGTTGGCCAGGCTGGTCTCAAACTCCTGACCTCAAGTGATCCACCCACCTCAGCCTCCCAAAATGTTGGGATTACAGGTGTGAGCCACCATGTGAGCTGACATTGCGCCACTGTACTCCAGCATGGGCAACAGAGCAACACTCCATCTCAAAAAACAAAACAAAACAAAACAAATAAATAAATAAAGGAGACAATACCACTATAGATCTCAGAAACATTAAAAGGACAGGAAAGAAATACATTGAAGTTTTATGCCAGTAAATTAACAACTTAGATGAAATGGACAAATTCCTTGACATACACAAACAGCAAAAGAAACTGAAGCACAGTGGCCCACACCTGTAATCCAGCTACTCAGAACGCTGGAACAGGAGAACTGCTTGCGCCCAGGAGTTCATGACCACCCTGGGCACTGTAGCAAAACTCCAGCTCAAAAAAAAAAAAAAAAAAAAAAAAAACAGTCTGAATAGCCCTCTACCAATTGAAGGAATTGAATTTACAATTACAAAACTCCTTGCAAAGAAAACTTCTGGCCCAGACAGCTGTACTGGTGAATGCTACTAAATATTTAAGGTAGGAAGGAGAACAATCCAACACAAACTCTTTCTAAAAAATAAAGTGAGACTGGTGGTGATTCAAAAAAAAAAAAAAAGTGAAAATTATATTGCATGGTAGCACATCAAGAACTAATGTCTAAAACCAGGATGGAAAATCAACAAGTAGCAATATACAGAGGGAAAAGTCTGACAAAGGTTCAATTTAACTGCGTCTGGGGTGTAAATAAGTAAAATTATCTAGCATGTAGTTGAGAATACATAGTATCAAGTTGACAGGGGATGCAGTGGCTCACACCCGTAGTCCCAGCACTATGGGAGGCCAAGGAGGACGTATCATTTGAGGTCAGGAGATCGAGACCAGCCTAGCCAACATAGTGAAACCCCACCTATACTAAAACTACAAAAATTAGCTAGGTGGGGTGACACACACCTGTAGTTCTAGCTAGTCGGGAGGCTGAGGAAAGAGAATCATTTGAACCTGGGAGGAAGAGGTAGCAGTGAGCCAAGATCGCACCACTGCACTGGGCGATAGAGCCAGACTCTGTCTCAAAAAAAAAAAAAAAAAAAAAAATTAAGCTGGGCACAATGGCTCATGCCTGTAATCCTGGCACGTTGGGCAGCTGTGGTGGGTTGATCACCTGAGGTCAGGAGTTCAAGACCAGCCTGGCAAACATGATGAAACCCCGTCTCTATTTAAAAAATACAAAAAAAAAAAAAAAAATTAGCCAGGTGTGGTGGTGGGCGGCTGTAATCCCAGCTAGTCAGGAGGCTGAGGCAGGAGAATCACGTGAACCCAGGAGGCAGAGGTTGCAGTGAGCCGGGACCGTGGCACTCCAGCCTGGGCAACAACAGCAAACCTCCCTCTCAAAAAATAGATACATATATTTACACACACTACATTACACACAACTACATTGTGTATAGTTGTTTTGGGGGGTTTCTTTTGTTTTTTTGTTTTTGTTTTGAGACAGTGTCTGGCTCTGTCACCCAGGCAGGTGTGCAGTGGTGTGATCTCGGCTCATTGCAACCTCCGCTTCCTGGTTCAAGCCATCCTCCCACCTCAGCTTCCCGAGTAGCTGGGACTACAGGTCTGTACCATCACACCTAATTATTATTATTATTTGTAGAGGCAGGGTCTCATCATGTTGTCCAGTCTGGTTGTGAACTCCTGGGCTCAAGTGATCCACCTGCCTCAGTCTCCCAAATTGCCAGGACCACAGGCTCGCACCACCACGCCCAGCCACTTTTTGTATTTTTTGTAGAGACAGAGTTTTTTGTCATGTTGCTTAGGCTGGTCTCAAACTCCTGACCTCAAGCAATCCACCTGCCTCCACCTCTCAAAGTGCTGGGGTTCCAGACATAAGCCACCATGCCCAGCCCAACATGATTGTTTAGATTATGTAAGAAATGTTACACGATAAGCTTCTCAAAAACTTATGTTGAAACAAAAACAGCTTGTCATTGGCCGGGCGTGGTGGCTCACGCCTGTAATCCCAGCACTTTGGGAGGCCAAGGCAGGCAGATCACCTGAGGTCAGGAGTTCGAGACCAGCCTGGGCAACATGGTGAAACCCTGTCTCTACTAAAAATACAAAAATTAGCCAGCATGGTGATGGGTGCCTGTAATCACAGCTACTAGGGAGGCTGAGGCAGGAGAATCGCTTGAACCCGGGAGGTGGAGGTTGGAGTGAGCCAAGATCACGCCATTGCACTCCAGCCTGGGCAACAGAGCAAGACTCCATCTCAAAAAAAAAAAAAAAAAAGCTTGTCATTGAAATTTCCATAGTTCACATGGTTTTTCTTGTTTCAGTGCCCATCTGTCAGGATATAGACTCTAACTTATTTCTGTCAAAGCATCTCTGAGAAGGTAATTTTAATCTGTGGATATTCCAGGCTGTGGAAGGGGAAGAGAAAAAGGAAGGGAGGATGATCCATCCAAGACGGACAAGGGACACAAATATTTTTCTAAATGTTTAGTTGAAGGGAATGATGAAAAGACAAAACATGGAAAGCTCCCCATTTTACTCAGTTTATATGTTCCAAGATTCTATTCCTGTTTGTGATTTTATGTCTCATTAGAGGTAGAGTGGCATAATCTCAGAAAACATAGCTTAATAACATTATTTGATTTCCTATGTCTTTTTTTTTTTTTTTTTTTTTTGAGATGGAGTCTTGCTCTGTCACCCAGGCTGGAGTGCAACGGTGTGATCTCCACTCACTGCAACCTCCTCCGCCTCCCAGGTTCAAGCGATTCTCCCACTTCAGCCTCCCAAGTAGTAGCTGGGACTACAGGCACGCACTACCACATCAGGCTAATTTTTGTATTTTAGTAGAGACAGGGTTTCACCATGTTGCCCAGGCTGGTCTCGAACTCCTGATCTCAGGTGATCTGCCTGCCTCAGCCTCCAAAAGTGCTGGGATTACAGGAGTGAGCCACTGCGCCCAGATTCCTATGTGTTTTTAATGCTCTCAGCCATTTGTGTGCTTTATAAGACAAGATTCCTTGAGACTAGCCTGGGTAACATGATGAAACCCCATCTCTACAAAAAAATTAGCCAGGTATGGTGGCATGTGTCTGCAGTCCCCACTACTCGGGAGGCTGAGGTTGCAGGCAGTTGTGATCACACCACTGCACTTCAGTGGGTGACAGAGCCAGACCCTGTATCAAAATGAAGAAGAGAAGGAGAGGGAGGGAGAAGGGGGGGAGGGGGAGGGGGAGGAGGAAGGGGAGGAGGAAGGGGAGGAGGAAGGGGAGGAGGAAGGGGAGGAGGAAGGGGGGGAGGAGGGGGAGGGGGAGGAGGGGGAGGGGGAGGAGGAGGAGGAGGGGAGGAGGAGGAGGAGGGGAGGAGGAGGAGGATGGGGAGGAGAAGAAGAGGAGAAGGAAGAAGAAGAAAGAGGGAAGGAAGGAAGAAGAAGAAAAAATAAGGTAGGAGGGAGGAGGGTGAGGAGGAGGGGAAAGAGGAGGGGGAGGGAGAGGAGGGAGAGGGAAGAGAGGGAGAGGGAGAGGGGAAAGAAGAAGAAAAGAAAAAGAAGAAAAAAAGGAGGAGGAGGAAGAAGGCCACGACGACAAGATTCCTTAATTCAAATGCAGTTAAGACATCGGATGCATGCAGGCAGATTTAATATGGGAACCACCACAGTGTCGTTTCTTTGGCTCTAGAAAGGCTTCTTCCTAAACTGGAAGCATATCTATACTTTTCTCAGCTGCCTACACCAAGTAAGATGCTGCAAATGTGTGTGTGAGGGTGTATACACCCTAGGAGGGGTTCTTGTGGGGCAAGGGCTTGGATTTACTCATAGGATTATCAAGTTCCAGCACTGTTAATAAAAATTGTTGGCTTAAAAATTTACTCAGAAACCTTGGACATACAGAGTTGTTGAGCTGAAATCCTAAGCTATCATGTCATATTTACAAAATAATGTCAAGTGATAAAAGGAACAAAGAGCCCAGTGTAGTGGCTCACCCTATAATCCCAGCACTTTGGAAGAAGGCCAAGATAGGTGGATTGCGTGAACCCAGCAGTTCAAGATCAGACTGGGCAACATGGTGATACCCCGTCTCTAAACAAAATACAAAAGTCAGCCAGACATGGCAATGCATGTCTGTAGTCCCAGCTCTTTGGGAGGCTAGGGTGGGAGGACTCACTGAGCCCGGGAGGTCAAGGCTGCAGTGTGCTGTGATCGCGCCACTGGACTCTAACCTGGGTGACAAAGCAAGAACCTGTACTCCCCCAAAAAACAAACAATCCACAGAATTGCTCACACTGAATGCTCACATATTAATTTTTAGCATTTCTTATCAATAAAGTATCTTTAATTAAGATATCCACATTGTAACTTTTATATGCACTAGGAAACCAAAAAATTAGCGCAACTTTCTTTATTGCAGTGGTATAAAACAACCTGCAGTATCTCCAAGGTATGCCTGTAGTGTCATCCATATTATTTTAATTTCCTGGGACAGAATGATGTTCAAGTATTACTAGTGTGACATGAAATGTGTATACTTGTTCTTTTTTAAGTTTCTTTCTAAGATTCTCAGGAGATATTGGTACATCTCAACTTAACAGAAAGCAATACAACTGGCAATGACCATCAGATATGCAGTTAGCAAGAATCTAGAAGGGTAAAACTTTAAAACTATATCAAAAATAGATCTGGTTCCTTTATCTATAGTCCAGTATTATTAACAAAAACTAGGTAGAAAATACATAATTTTAACACAAAAATACCTAACAGTGATGAAGAAGCAAATACATTCAAAGCAAATGGGGCAATCAGAGAGAAAGCAGTACATGAAATATTCAGAGATATTTCAGACAATGTAGAAGTACCCAGTACTACAGCCAAAGTGCTCATACTACACGCATGCTTGGTTTTCTCCACAAAGTGTATGAACCTGCAGATCTATCCACACACTCAAGAGCATGGGTGCTAGAGATGCCCACTATAAACAAACTCAATGAACTATAAGGATTCTACTCAAAAGGTTAGTCAATTTGTAAAATAAAATCATATCCAAGAAGCATAATTTAACCAAACATTAATTTCCAAATAAGACGGACATCTTCTGAGAAAAAAACTAAAATACCACTTACCATGATGGTTCCTGGAGCTGACTCTGATGAACTCACAGGGCTTTGGTATGGGATCCTGTTATGCACAGAACTCTGGTCATAAGAGGAAGACATTGCTACTGGACTAGCAGAATTCAGTGATGAGCTTGTCAGACTGCAGGAGGTAATGACGGAAGTTGTATATGTGGAGTTCTGTACTGCACTGGTCATTGATAAAGATGTATTCAAAGGCTCACTGAAAAGAGTCAAAAATATTCAACATAATTTTGTTACTTTAAATAGCTTCATAAAAAAAAAAAAACATAAACAGCTTCACGAGATGCAACTACTGCATCAATTTATTATCCCAAATGAGACCCACCTAATTTAACTGAGAGATAGGGGGACATCTTTAAGAATACTTAGGCTGCGTGCGGTGGCTCACGCCTGTAATCCCAGCACTTTGAGAGGCAGAGGTGGGCGGATCCGGAGGTCAGGAGATCGAGACCATCCTTGCCAACATGGTGAAACCCCGTCTCTACTAAAAATACAAAAATTAGCAGGGCGTGGCAGTGGGCACCTGTAATCCCAGCCACTCTGGAGGCTGAGAAAGGAGAATCACTTGAACTCGGGAGGCAGAGGTTGCAGTGAACCAAGATCGCGCCACTGCACTCCAGCCTGGCGACAGAGCAAGACTCTGTCTAGAAAAAAAGAAAAAAAATAAGAAGATTCTTTAAGGAATCCAGGTGTTTGAGACCATCTTTAAAAAGGAAACTTAAACAAATATCAGGTTTTGCCTCTGGAATGTGAAAAAACTAAAACAACAACAACAACAAAGTCAGCCAGGCCGGTGGCTCATGCCTGTAATCCCAGCACTTTGGGAGGCTGATGCAGGCAGATTCATTGAGCTCCAGAGTTTGAGGCCAGTCTGGGCAACATGACGAAACCCTGTCTCTACAAAACATATTTAAAAATTAGCTGGGCATGGTGGTGCACGCCTGTAATCCCAGATACTCAGGAGTCTGAGGCAGGAGGATCATTTGAGCCTGGGAGGCAGAGGTTGCAGCGAGCCAAGCATGCTGCTGCACTCCAGCCTGGACAACAGAGCAAGACCCTATCTCAAAAAAAAAAAAAAGAAAAGAAAAGAAAACTAAAATCTGAGATTTTGTATTTATAAAATATTCCACTGAAGGAAAATGACTGCTGCAAACATGTGGAGAAATTAGATCCCTCATAGACTACTGGTAGGAATGTCAAATGCTACAGCCACAGTGGAAACAGTATGGGAGTTTCCTGAATGGTTAAGTTACCATATGACTCAGCAACTCTACTCCTGGGATATACATCCCAAAGAACTGAAAGCATGCAAAACTTGAAACCAAATGTCCATAGCAGCATCATTCACTATAGTCAAAAAGAGCAAACAACCCAAATGTCCACCAACTAATGAATGAATAAAATGTGGTATTATCAACACAATGAAATATTTGGCAATAAAAATGATACATTAAACATGGGTGTACCTCGAAAACTTACACTAAGTGAAAGATCAGACATAAAAGGCCACATATTCCAAGATTCCAGTTATATGAAATGTCCAGGTAGGCAAATCCAGAGACAGATTATTGGTTGCTAAGGGGCAGGGCAATGAAGAAACTGAGACTGTCTGCTACAGGTATGGGGTTTCTTATGGAGATGATGGAAGGTCTGGATAAACACTGAGGATAGCTATTACCACAGGATGTATTCTTTTCCACCAGTTGATCTCTCTTAGGGTCTATTTTGCTTCATAACAAAGGACTAAATTCAGTACCTTAAAGACTTCGAATACAAGCTGATGGGAATCTGATTACTATTTTCACTGCTTGGAGCTGATCCAAATTCAGAGAGAGAAGGTTCTGACCCAAATTCCAGAGCCCCAAACTGCACATTTAATCCTGTGACATCTGCTGAACCAGGCATTTCCACTGCAGAAGCTGGGATCTGAAAAAGCAAAGCTGTCGTGTCAGGAACAGAGGTCACAGATTCCAGGTCACAAAGGCCTATAACAGAGCCAAACAAGCATTTAGGTTCCCAGGCAATACTGGCAAGAAGAAGGAGTGAGAAACAAGGAGAAAATAGGCTAAGACTTTTCTAAAAAGAGAAAGAAAAAAAACAAGCTAAGAAAAATTAAAAGTTGGCTGGGCATGGTGGCTCATGCCTGTAATCCCAGGACTTTGGGAGGCCAAGACAGGAGGATCATTTGCACCCAGGAGTTCAAGACCAGCCTGGACAACACGGCGAGACCCTGTCTCATTTAAAAAAAAAAAGGAGAAATTAAAAGTTAAACAGGAATGGTTGGCATTAATATCACCACCTGCATCTAAGAGCAATGCGGGGGAGTTGTGATGGTGGGTGGGAAGTGAACACTGAGCTGACTACTCTATTTTTGGGGACTCACCAATGATGAAAGTATCACCTGGTCAAGGAACCATGCATCCTCCAACTATGGGATACAGCAAAACCCTCAAGAACAACAGTTCTCTGAGCCAGATCTTCAAATCTGTACTTGAAATAAGGATCTGTGGCTCTCAGCACAAACCCATTCCCTCTAATACTAGTCTGGTCACTCAGAAATGGCCATATCCTTATTATGCAATCAATAAGCTATGTGCTTGAAAAACACTGTACCCCAGTTTCCAAAACTTAGTATCCCACTAGAGCTGAATGTAAAAATAATTCCAGCTTTAGGACGGTGACTTCATGATGAAATGCCCACCTTAGAAGCTGGGGGTATCCGCCGCTTAGCAAGTTTGATGTGTTTGGGCTGTGGCTGGTGGACAGACACAGAGATATTTTCAATGGTCGTGCTGGGAAGCTGCAAAAGCTTGTTCACAGTGGAGGGACTGTCTCCAGGTGTTGATTCTCGAAGTTTTGCCTGGGAAGGAAAGGACTCCAAACCAGGAGGAGGAACAGTGACTGCCTGGCTCTGGTGCTGTTGTCGCTGGCTCAACTGGCTAAGAACTGGGGATGGCTCAGGTTGAGATTTGAAGTCTAAAAAAAGTAAGCAGCAATTAATGAGGCATAATGGCTTCACAATGTTCTTCAATAGAACATGAAGTGTTCTATTACCACCAATTTCTCCAAATCATTTCCAGTTGAATTTCTTAGGTTTTACACACACTATGTGTAACACTTCATTTATGATAAACGGGAAAAGTTCCTAAATGGGTACACACCTTGTTTCCTATCCAGAGAGATTTGGTTTATGTTTAAGCATAGGGAGTGATGAACTCGTGAGAACAATATTATGGTGCTATACACACCTGACCATTAGCTAACAGAGAATCATACTTTTATTATTTTATGGATTTTCTACATAACTGTTAAAAATTTGAGCCAGGCACAGTCACTCATGCCTATAATGCCAGCACTTTGGGAGGCTGAGGTGGGAGGATTGCTTTAGCCCAGGAGTACAAGGCTGCAGTGAGCTATGATTGCACCACTGCATTCCAGCCTGGATGACAAAACAAGACCATGTCTTCATCCAAAAATTAAAAAAAAAAAAACTTATTAAGTTTTTGGACTAATTGATATATATATATATATGATGTTACAAAATCCAAAAGATGGCTGGGCGCAGTGGCTCACGCCTGTAATCCCAACACTTTGGGAGGCCGAGGCAGGCAGATCACGAAGTCAGGAGATCAAGACCATCCTGGCTAACATGGTGAAACCCCATCTCTACTAAAAATACAAAAAAATTAGCCGGGTGTGGTGGTGGGCACCTGTAGTCCCAGCTACTCGGGAGGCTGAGGCAGGCCCTATGACGTGAACCCGGGAGGCGGAGCTTGCAGTGAGCTGAGATGGCGCCACTGCACTCCAGCCTGGGTGACAGACTGGGTGACAAACAAACAAACAAAAAACAAAATCCAATAGATACAAGAATATGTATGACGAATATTATGTTTCTCTTCCACACCACTCTCCCATACTTGCTCCACAAAGGCAAACACTGTACCCGGTTTTCCTGAATGTCTCTTTCAGAGATACTATATCACAATATATATAGACAGACAGACAGACAGACATATATATACACACACTATATACCTTACTGTCTCACAAATCATTTAATTTCCATTGAGTGTCTCACATTAATGTTCAAAGAGCTACTTCATACTCATTTTGGTGACTACACAGAAATCTAGTACACATAGGTATCATTTTATAAAACCAGTACTATATTAATGGACTTTTAGGTCAAATCTTATGCTATTAAAAGCAATGCACTAATGAATACATTTGTATGTAAGATATTTTGTGCAAGTACAAGTATACCTGTAGGATCAACTGGTAGGATAAAGTTGCCCCTTCACAGGGTAAATATATTTTGAATTTTGATAAATATTATAAAATTACTGTCCACAGATAGAACACATCCTTTTTAACACACTCTAATATCAAACACTTTTGAATCTCCTGGTTTAATTGGTGGAAAATGGTATTAAAAAATACAAACTAAAATGATACAAATGTGCTAAGTATCATTTCATATACTTAAGTGTTCTTTACTTATAGACTGTTCTTATCTCTTTAGCCAGTTTTTTAACCTGTTTGTTGATCTGCTTTATTTTTACTCTTTTTATATTAAGGAAATTAACTCTTTTTGTCTATGATACAAATTTTGAGTATTTTTTTCATTGTTTGTCTGCCTAATTTGGTGTTTTCTGCCATACCCAGAAAGGTCTCCCTCACACAGAACAACAAAAAAATTCTCCTGTGTTTTCTCTATTATAGTTCTAGATTCACTATTTATGTTTAACTATCTGACCCACTGGCATTTTGGCATAGAGATCCAACTTCATTTTTCAAACGGTTTTAATAAAGCGTTTTTTCACTACTGATTTGAAAAGCCAGTTCTACCATATGGGACAG
Organism: Homo sapiens; assembly: GCF_000001405.40. Taxonomy (NCBI): domain Eukaryota; kingdom Metazoa; phylum Chordata; class Mammalia; order Primates; family Hominidae; genus Homo; species Homo sapiens. The sequence continues at coordinate 33,946,524 of NC_000009.12, forward strand.
AGGTTGGCCCTCTTTTTCTCTATGGGGCCAGATAGTACAACAACCTAATATTTTAGCCTTTGTGTCTCATCACGTTGCCCAGGCTGGTCTCGAACTCCTGCTCAAGCAATCCTCCTCCTTCTGCCTCCCCAAGTGCTGGGATTACATGAGCCACTGTGCCCAGCTAGCTGAGTGTCAACAGAATTTAATTTAAAAAAAAACAAATGGCAGAGCTGGTTTAGGCGCATTCATTTTTGAACTTGGTATTATAGGCATGCACCAAACACACAGGTTTTATAAAGAATATGGGAATAGCATGGTTCTATCTAAAAAGTCCTATCACTCACTAGTTATGTGTGCAGAAAAAGTTAATATAGGGACCTACAATTCCTCTCAAAAAGGCCTGCTTGATGACTGGACCTTGGCTAATGTCTGAGAATTTGGACTGCTGGTATGTACTTGGCAAAGGGTGCCAACACACTAACCTATTAAGAGTGGCTCACTGTGCTAAGAATGTCTGTATAAACAATGTGGTTTATGCTCAACATCTGCTTTCCTTCTAGGAATCTGTAATTTTGCTATGTGCTATAGCAAAAAATGTAGGCACAGGGTACCTACATTTCTTGCCCCAGCAAAAACTTTGGGCACTGAGTCTCTAATGATTTCCCTTGGTAGACATCGCTTCAAACCCCGGAGTGGTCTCATGTACTTCCAACACAGTAAGTCATTTCACAGAACAGAGGAATATGCTTCCCTGTCTCTCTATATGCCCTAACCATAAACCAGCCCACATGGCCAGCTCCACAATGAATGAAATCCCCTGCTATTCCTTAATACAGTGTGGCATGTGAGTGCTGGTGGGGAATGGTGGCTTAATGTCACAATTTCTGTGGGAGTTTAGTTTAGAAAACATCCAGTCTACACATGGGACCTTTACAATACAAACCACGGAATGTAAAGGTTGATGAAATCATAGTTGATACTTCAAAATGTTAGAATGAGAAAGCATGAGAGTGTGATAGTTAAAATACTGTCCAGGCCGGGCGTGGTGGCTCACACCTGTGATCTCAGCACTTTTGGAGGCCGAGGTGGGCAGATCACCTTAGTCCAGGAGTTCCAGACCAGCCTGGGCAACATGGCAAACCCCTGTCACATTAAAAAAATACAAAAAAATCAGCCAGGAGTGACGGCATGTGCCTATAGTCCCACCTACTAGAGAGGCTGAGGTGGGAGGATGGACTGAGCCTGGGAGGTCAAGATGGCAGTGACGCGTTACTGTGCCACTGTACTCCAGCCTGTGCAACAGAGCAAGATCCTGACTCAAAAAAAAAAAAAATAAAATAATAGAGTAAAATATTGTCTAGGCTGGATACAGTGGTGCACATCTATAATCCCAGTTACTCAGAAGGCTGAGATTAAAAGACTGCTTGAGGCCAGGAGGTGGAGATCAGCCTACGCAGCACAGGAAGACCCCATCTCAAAAAAAAAAAAAAAAAAAAAAGTCTTAAAATGTTTTCCACATTCTATGTTCTATCACCACCCTCTTCTAAGAGAGCTCAGAAAATTCTGTCCATGCATTTACACAAAGTGTTAGATGTTCATATTTGCATGCTTTTACCATACTTTTCAAGGCATGTACTACCACCACAATTACTACCAACAATAATGAAACTATCAAGAACAACAACAAAAACAAATAAATGCAAGTATTGTATAACAAAGGAAGACTGATTTAACTGAGAAACTGCAAGAGTTCTACTAAAAAGAAACATCTCTGGACAAATTCCACATTAGTCTTCACAAGTCAACACACTCTGCCAAAGCTTGAAACGTCCTCAGTAGGGGCAAACCCACAAACAATGTATACCTACCAAGATGACTGAGGACTGAGGACTGGGATGTTGGGGGCTTGAGGTCCCAAGAAGTAGTAGTTGTAGGGTGACTTGTACTATTCTGCTGTGTACTTGGGGTGGTGGTAAACTGGCCCAAACTCGGAGCTTTCAACTGGTCCAAAATCTGGGAGCTGGTGATGTTTGCCATTTTTGGTGGTGCAAGCTCTCCAAATCCTGAGCCAAGGACGGATGACTTTAAAAGGGGGATAAAAGAACAAATCCTCAACAATACAGAATTTCTGCCCAAGGCTTTAAAACATATCAAGTATTTTCACAAGTATGTTAAAACCTATAATCTAAAACATATGAATTACTAAAATATAACTTAGAAAATACTACATGAAAATATTACTATGCAATGAAAACTGACTAAATAAATGCAGCTATCCTTCCTCATTCTGACATAAGAAGTTAAAGGGAAGGGAAATATTTGCCATGAATTTGAAGAAATCAATTTTTAAAAACGTGATGTTGGCCGGGCGCGGTGGCTCACGCCTGTAATCCCAACACTTTGGGAGGCCAAGGTAGGTGGATTACAAGGTCAGGCGGATCACGAGGTCAGCAGATTGAGACCATTCTGGCTACCACAGTGAAACCCCGGCTCTACTAAAAATACAAAAAAATTAGCCGGGAGTTTTGGCAGGCGCTTGTAGTCCCAGCTACTCGGGAGACTGAGGCAGGAGAATGGCATGAACCCAGGAGGCGGAGCTTGTAGTGAGCAGAGATCACGCCACTGCACTACAGCCTGGGCGACAGAGCAAGACTCCATCTCAAAAAATAAATAAATAAATAAATAAAAATAAAATAAAATAATAAAAAGTGATGTCATAAGTTCACAATTAAATATCACTATTTAAAAAAACTAAAGAGGAATGCCATGAAATACATGACAAAGATATGCTTGACCAACAAAAACACATTATTTTCCTAGTCTGTGAACCACAGTCTTCATCTTTAATGATTACAAGATGTACAGTCAAAGAAGAGATCAGTGTGAGA